>NC_000007.14:94021930-94324960 GCF_000001405.40 Homo sapiens
CCAATTCTTTTAAAGTCCAACATGGGATTTTCTTGAAATATGCATGGCCTGAAGCATCAAATATTTAGGTAAACAGGCAAAAGTCTCAGTAAAAATTAAAATAGGAACACATTAGTAAAAAGACAGAGAATATCTATACATTTCAAAAGTAAAATACCCATAAAATTGAAATCTGTGCAGGTAAAATGAAATTATTTTGGAACTGATTTACCACAAATTTGTGAACTGGTGCTGTTACAAAAAGAATAGAGTAGAATTAGCAAACTGTGCTTAAACTTTTAAAATTGAAATATGGCAGAAATACAGAATTAAAATTGCATTTATGTTCTCTGATGAGCCCAACTGTTCTTTTAGGAACAGCTTATAAAATATTTCAAATAACTACAAAATAAGAAAGCCCTTTCAGAAATATCCTTAAACAAAAAGGATAGAACAAAAATAATTACTTTCTCTCCAAATACCTCATGAGATCTATTCTACTTTTATATAAATTTTTTATGTTTATATAATACCTTGTTATTTTAATCTGTATTTGACAGGCATGGATACTTTCATTTCTGTGAGTGTATTGGGAGCAAGGGGGTGTGACAGGATTCCATGTTAGACCAGGGACTTGTTTTGATGCCACTAAGGAGACTAAATTTTAAATTGGACCCTTACTTTCTACACACTCCCCACAATCCTGATATGGTTCAGCTGTGTCCCCACCCAAGTCTCATCTTGAATCGTAGTTCCAATAATCCCCATGTGTGGTGGGAGGGAACAGGTGGAGATAAGTGAATCATGAGGGTGGTTTCCCCATCCTGTTCTCGTGATAGTGAGTAAGCTCTCATGAGATCTGATGGTTTTATAAGGGGCTTTCCCCTTCTCTGGGGACTCATTCTTTGCTCTCCTGCTACCACGTGAAGAAGGATGTATTTGCTTCCCCTTCTGCCATGTTTGTAAGTTTCCTGAGGCCTCCCCAGCCCTTCAGAACTGTGAGTCAATTAAACCTCTTTCCTATATAAATTACCCAGTCTCCGGTATGTCTTTATTAGCAGCACGAGAATGAACTAATACACTTCCCCACCACAATAGTAGAAAGGGCTTATGTCTACAGACAAGCTTATTCTCTTTATTTGTTGGAAACATGACAAGTTCTGGCTTCTATGACTCTTTTTCTATATACATATTTTTCATAGAAAATCAAAATGAAAAGTATTTTCAGATTAGCAAAAATAATTTTTAAAGTTAGAAATGTGATTTCAAAACAAGAAAGTTGGTACACCCCACAGAGGCTGCTTAACTCATGGAAGATTAAGCAAATCATATTCTGTGGGGGGAAAAAAACGAAAAAAAAAAAAAAGCCAACCTGACAATTCCAAGGCAGTTCACCAGCATTATTTCAAAGGAAAAGCAAAGTTAAAAAAATAAAGTAAAATCAAGATAAAGGGAGGAGAGAGGGAAAATATTGAATCATTCTTGTTTCCCTGTAAATAGTTTATCACTCTATTTATAAACAGACACAGAGAGCTTTTAGTGGAATTGCCAGATATTAATTTTTTCAAGAGATTTAATATTATTCTGGGAGGGAGTTATATCCAGTTGTATGGTTCTATTTTTTATTTGCCCCTACTCCTAGAGCATAGCCCCTTCAGGTTCTCAACAGGAAGCATGGGACATTCTTCTTTGGTTGGCCATGAACTTAAAATTCTGTTTTCCTGGTAACATCTAATTACAGTGTTCTCTGCTTAAAGGGTCAACCTTTTAGAAGCTGCTTTCTGCTTGCTTTGTCAGACTTTCTTACCACACTTAAACTAGCTAGGAGTTAACAAATATATTGAGGGCAGATTACAAACAGAAAATCAGGCTCACTTCTCTGCAGTCCTCTTTTTTTCTGGGATCTTGGTCCTTCAAGTCCTGAATGGTTGTTTTGGGAACTCTGAACTCCAATTTCTGTCTCCCCAGTCCAAAGAGAAAAGTGCTGCAAGTTCTAGGCTGCTGCTTCATGCCCCCATTCAGTGAATCAGGAAATATTTTGAGAGGAGAAATAATGATTGATTTAACTTCATAAAGCGTAATAGCGTATGCTTGCCAAAAACATCAGAAACAAGTTATGTCAGAAATAGTGTCTCTACCTTAAATTTTGTTCATCCTTTCTATAGTATACAGTTGTAGATGGAAGTAACAGCTCAGCTGAGGACTAAATTTCCTTATCCCATTTGCCATGAGATGTGGCCATATGACTTGTTTTTGCCAATGAAATATGAATGAAAGTAATTCATGCCACCTTCTAGGTCATGGCTTATAAAAGGCTAGTATGTCTCTTCCATACTCCCTTCCTGCCCCTACCTGGGTGTGGACAATGATAAGGCCTGAGGGGAGAGTGAAGCCACAAGATCAAAGGCATCTGGGCCCTAAAACCTCTTCATCAAATCACGCTATTATAAATGTCGTGCTCTTGTTGTTATAATAATGTACTAATACATAAGGCTTAAAAATTACAAATTGAAAATATATATTGTCAGAATATATAAATTATAATCTGAAATAAGGGTTTCAAAATCAATTGATAAAAGAGGAATATTTTAATAATTATTAGGATAAAGACAATTCTCAAAAGAACGTATTATTAAGATAAGGATGATGTTGGAAAAGAATGGTGTTCAAAATAACTACTGATGTTCAAAGTAGCTACTGATTTATTATTACATATTAACAATGGTGTATGATATATAGCCTATGAGATTAGTAATAAAAAATTTTAATGGACATGTCCAGGGTTGATTGATGAGAGAAATGAACTGCTAATGGAACTCTAAGTCAATAAAACCTGTATGACAGTTTGGCAATATGTATCAGAATTTTAAGTAATTATATACTTTGAGGCAGAGTATACTTTTCCCAAGAAGAGAATGAGTCCAAAAGGATGTAAACATCAGAATATTTATTTCATAATTTTTAAAGAACCCAAAACAAAAACATCAATGAGAATAACCAGTGTACAAATTGTGTCAGTATCATAAAATTATGTTTATAACATTTTAAGTATTCTTTTCATGAATATGTATTCATATGTAAATATATATATTTAACTTATAAATACATGCAGTGTGTGTGTGTGTGTAGAAAGAGAGAGAGAGAGAGAGACACGCACACACACACACAGAAGAATCAAGACAGATACTTGCCAAATGGAAACAGTAATGATCAGTGATGATGGTATTCCTGCTTTCATGCTTATACCTCTTTGAACCAATTGATGTTTTTAAGAATTTTAAAACAGGCCTGTATTAGCATTTTTATGGGGGAAAGGGGGAAAATAAAAATGGTCGTTTCTTCAAAATACACAGATAAAATTTGGTTGGAAAAATAGTTAGCAAGAGCAACTAATTCTCTAAAAGGATGGGGTACCCAAGACTCAACGTTTTATCTTACCCACTTTCATTTGCTCATTCATTCAGTCATCAAAAATTGCATTTTGGGGACTCTCTATGTGCCAGGCACAATATCCTTAGGAATCCTATTATCTACCTAAACTTGAGACTCACTGAGGAGTATTCTGGCTTTCGCATGCCCAGAGGATATTCTTGAACAATTAGCGGATGCTTCAAAAAGTGTAATAATGTGGCAAGGAATCTAAATGTGTGCTCCTCAATCCACTTCCATCAGTAATGCAGTGAGTAGAGGTACTATCCAGAACTTTTGCCTGTGGTTTTCTCTTCTCTTTAGCATCCACTACTACTGATAGTTTCATCAAGTCATTTTAGTCTCTATAGCTATTTTAAAATGTGAAATAAGGACTTAATGCATATTTCATCTTCTAGTCATTTTAACTTTAAAGATTTTGAATTCACTTTCATGGCTGTACTGAAAATTAATTTGTTCAAATCAGTCCCCATTGGAAGAGTTGAGAGAGAAAATGGAGATGGTTTCCCTACGGTGGTCATTTTTATTGCTTTTTAGAGGCAGATAATTCTTTGATTAAAGCAATGGTCCCCTTTTCCCAAAAAAAAAAAAAAATGAGTATGGAAAATGGACCTACCTGGAAACCTTTGCAAGTAACATCAGGAGTTCCAGGCTACTTACTTAAGAACACCTTCTCTAGCACAGAGAATTGTGTTTAGACTCAGGGCAGCACTCCCTCATAGACACTTTCCAAGGGCAAAATAGACTAATTATCTTATGTACTAATGATGCTCATGGGTGTCTCTCAGGACATTTAGATGCCAGAAAGAAAGTTATTTCCATGTAACATTTGCTGATAATGATAAATTATCCTTTAAGAATTATCACATCAAATAGATAAAACTAGTTTGCCTGGGTAGGAAACATAATGTGGAAGCCTTTATGTCTCCTACTAAAAACTTTCCATCTATTATTGTATCCTTCAGGAGCAGTGACCTTCCTTCTATTGACAGTTCTGGCAGAAATCTAGGAAACTTGAATATAACTTTAAGCATCCCCAGAAGAACATGAATTGTTATTACAAAGCAAAATGGTCACTTTAAAATTGAAGGTTGAATATATATGCACATTACTTAGATGAAAAGTTTGGAGTATATTTGCTTTAATGATTCCAGAATTTTTTATTTTATTTTAAGTTCTGGGATACATGTGCTGAACGTGCAGGTTTGTCACATGGGTATAGATGTGCCATAGTGGTTTGCTGTACCTATCAACCCGTCATTTAGGTTTTGGGCCCACATGCATTAGATATTTGTCCTAAAGCTCTCCCTCCCCTTTCCCCTCACCTCCTCCCCCTCTACAGGCCCTTGTGTGTGATGTTCCCCTCCCTGTGTTCATGTGTTCTCCTTTTCAATTCCCACTTATGAATGAGAACATGCAGTGTTTGGTTTTCTGTTTCTGTGTTAGTTTGCTGAGAATGATGGTTTCCAGCTTCATCCATGTCCCTAAAAAGGACATGAACTCATTCCTTTTTATGGCTGCATAGTATTCCATGGTGTATATGTGCCACATTTCCTGTATCCAGTCTATCATTGATGGGTTCCAAGTCTTTGCTATTGTAAATTGTGCTGGAATAAACATACGTGTGCGTGTGTCTTTATATAGAATGATTTATAATCCTTTTGGTATATACCCAGTAATGGGATTGCTGGGTCAAATGGTATTTCTGGTTCTACATCCTTAAGGAATCGCCACACTGTCTTCCACAATGGTTGAGCTAATTTACACTCCCACCAACAGTGTAAAAGCGTCCCTATTTCTTCTCATCCTCACCAGCATTTGTTGTTTCCAGACATTTTAATGATCTCCATTCTAACTGGTGTGAGGTGGTATCTCATTGTGGTTTTGATTTGCATTTCTCTAATGACCAGTGATGATGAGTTTTTTTTCATATGTTTGTTGGCTTCATAAATGTCTTCTTTTGGGAAGTGTCTGTTCATATCCTTTGCCCACTTTTTGATGGTTTTTTTTTGTCTTGTAAAATTGTTTAAGTTCCTTGTAGATTCTGGATATTAGACCATTGTCAGATGGATAGATTGCAAAAACTTTGGTGGCTTTTTTTTCCATTCATCTCTTCTGCCAAAATTATGACCTCATTTAATTTGTTTGTACATTTATTTCTTCTGGAGACCCCATCTCCAAATCACCATCCTTATCTTTTTTCTCAAACCTCAGGGAATACTGGCCTCTGTACATATTTTTAATTGCCTTGGTCTTGTCATTCCCTGGGTCTCTATGTATGTTGTTCATGGAACAACACATGCTTGGAATATTCTTTCCCTTCTTTATACTCTGTTAAATTCATAACCTCTGTAGTAGGCAGAATACTCCAATGATGTTCACATCTTAGTCTCCAGAGCCTGTGGATGTGTACATGGTAAAAGATAATTACGGTTGCAGATAGTATTACAGTTGCCAATCAACTCACCTTAAAATAGGGAAAGTAGCCTGGATTATACAGCTGGGCCCAATTTAATCAGAAGCGTCCTTACAAATAGAAGAGGGAGGTAGAAGAGGAGAGTCACAGGATGGTGTGACTATGGGAACAAGGCACAGAGAGAGATTATGTTGCTGGTGTTGAAGACAGAGGAAGAGGACCATGAGCCAAGGAATGAGGGCAGGTCCTGGAAGCTGGAAAAGACAGGGAAACAGATTCTCACCTAGAACCTCCAGGAAGGAATGCAGTCCTGCTGACACCTTGATTTTAGTACAGGCATGTCAATGTCAGAATTCAATGCGGTGATCTTGATGTCAGAATTTGATGCTATGGAATTGTAAACGAAAACATTTGTGTTCTCAAGACCACTAAGTTTGTGATCTTCACACAGCCACAATAGAAAACTATTACATCATCCTTCAGATTGCAAGTTAAAAATCACTTATTAATTTCTCCAGATATCCATGTTTGGAGACCTTTAAGCACAGTACTTACTTTAAAAAACTTTAAAGTATGTAAAATAGCCATAACTAAAATTTAACTTAGGTGTTTATGGCTATTTTCCCCTGCTAGTCTGTAAACTCCAAGAGTATAGTTCTTGTCTGTCTGTGCTTTCCACAGTGTCAATAAATGTTTATTCAGGGATTGGCTCTCCCCTTTCTCTTCCTTACATACATATGCTTCCAAAGGAAATCAGAGAAAATCGCCCAAACAAAATCCTCATAGGGCAAAGATCATCAGATTCCATATAGTAACCCATTTAATTCCCATAGTGCTTAGCTTTCCTAGGTCATTAATTCTCAGAGAGTAACCCCCTGACCAACAGCATTAGTATCACCTGGGAGCTACTAAATTAGGGGTGGATCCTAGGATTTGTATTTTAATAAGCTGTCTCCGTGATCTGATGATGCACACTGAAGTTCGAGAATTACTGCTTTAGTCCGGATTGTTGGGCCCCACGCACAGCATTTCTGACTTAGTATGTGTGGAGTAGGGCCTAAGAATTTGCATTTCTAAAAATTCTAAGTGATTCTGATGCTGCTGTTCCTGGGACTTTACTTGAAGAATAACTGACCTAAACAATGTTAGGCCAGGGGACTTCTAGTGGAATTTTGTCAACAAAACCTCACAGCTTATGAGTTTTTTATGACTTAGCACTTTGTGGTTTATGTGTCATCCTAAACCAGAAGTCTATATTTATTTTTACAGCAAGATTATTATGGCCCTTTATGAAATTCAGCTTACATCTATATTATAGCAAATGGCAGTTAGGTTGAGCAATCCAATTAATATATCTAAGACTATCTAGTTTTTAATCATACATATTCAAGATTGCATGATTTTCTGAAACAACAGTCTTTGCAAAAATGGATTAAAAGTGATTGTAAACCAGTTTGCTTTGCTTTACAACCTACTGTATGATTCTTTTCCTAAAAAATGAATGTAAAATTCCCCAATGTTATTATATTTCTGACAAAGTGACAACAATTGCTTATAAAATATTTAATAGCATGCTTTAAAAACTAGGAAATATAACATGCAGAACATAAATTACATTTTAAATAATGATTTGGTTTAATGCAAGATTGACGATGTATGCAGTTTATAAATCGTTTTGAAATCAGCTTTCACTCAAATGTTTCTGTAACTAAGAATGATTATGGCACCACTCTTGTGCAGGGAGGGTTCTCATGGAAAGTTAAGTTATTGTCTTAAATCAATATGCCCGATGCTTGTGATGCTGATAAGGCAACATATTTCAACACACACAGTGACAAATGGTGGCCTCTTAAGCTGATTTTAAGGTGCAAATAGAATCTGCTTTTTATCCATTTGCCTTCTGTAGAGAACAAATCCTTACATTTCACAGTTGAGAGATACAACACTTGAAGTATCAATGACCTGGGACAGGTATCACATTGCTTTCCATTCTCTTATAATAGATTCCATTATTAAAAGAAGATAAGGATGAGAGCCAAAGAGGGGAACACACCTCCAGGGGAAGCTGAAAGCCAGAAGACAGAAAGCAGATGGAGGGAGAATAAAAACATAACGAGGCATGAAAATGCTGGGGAGTGAGAGGACTTAGTTGACAAATTTGAGCATTTTGAAACAACTAGCAGTTGGTTTATGGTGACTGTAATGAGGTAATTAAGAAGGAAAATTAAGAATAGGTTTATTTAAAACCATGTAAGTTAAAATGGGGCGATTATTAACGTGAGAAAATATAAACATAATAAAACATCTGTCTCTAATGAACAATATATTTACCAAGTTACATTAATGTATAATGTGATTTTCTATAACTGAAATGATGATATAATTAGACTGGGTAGGAAGAGACAGGGAAATGGTCATGTGCAATGAGGCTGCATCTACCATAACAGGAAGTACACAGTTAGTATCCAAAAATTACAAATTTAGAAATAGCAGCATAAACCATTTATTTAGAAATATGAGAATAAGTACAATGACATAACCAAGAACAACTACACAGCTAAACGTATTAAAAGTGATTTCTTTCCAAAGCAGAAATAGTGTGGGAATGGGGCAGAGTTGAGGTGCTTTTTATAATAACCCCTTTTAAATATGTTCATGTATTACTGATAAAATGAAACAGGTAACACCTAAAAAGAAAGACTATGGTGATTTTTTTGACAACTTAAAAAGTGGTTTACAAATTTATTCCATTTTCATTTTGAGGAAACATTTCATCTGTAATTTAAAATATATATATCATCAGCAAGAAGACTCAATCAGATATCTTTAACATTTGGGTGTTGAGTTCTAGATCTGCCTCACAGAATTGCATGAGCTTGGGCAAGTCATCTCATCTTCTGTGAACTTTAGTTTCCCCGTCTATAAGAGTTACTGTGAGAACTTAATGAGATTATATCTTAAACCACTTGGGAGGTGCTTGACACATTATTTCTTACACGACTTCTCAGCAACATTAGCCCCAACTTTATTCTTTTCTTCATGTTCATAGTGTCTGTTTTATCACAATCTTTGGCACTGGTTTCTATCACTATGACCACATCTTCTCAGTCTCTTTTGATGGTTTCTCCTCCTAGAAGCACTTTCCTAGAGACTCATCATTCTACAGCTTCACACCAGATGACTACAATTATTTTCCTGGCGTGAAGAGCCACAAGCAAGCAACTCCACATTCATATTTCCAGCACAGATCATGCCTGTGACTTCCAGACCTGTATGTCTAACTGCCTTTTTGAAATATTTTTTTGGATTATTCAGGTGTGCTTCAAACTCAACCTATCTAAACCCAAACTCATGATCTATTTCCCCCAAATTTTTTCTTCCACTGTTTCTTGATTTCATGAATAGCACCTTCATCCTTCCAGTTGCACACCCAGAAATCTAAGAGTTCCTTGACATCTCCTGCGTTGACAGTTAAATCCTGCTCACATCCAAAATGCAATCCAGCAACATAGACTGTGGATTTTACATATTAAATATCTCTCAAATTGCCCTTTCCTCTCTTCCTCCACCACCACTACAAACATAGTCTAATTCATGCCGTAATCATTTCACACCTACGCCATAAAAGCTTTTCAACTATTTTTCCCCTATCCATTCTCACATCCTATAATCAATTTTCCATAGAGAATCCTGAACTGTTGGCCTTTTATCACTGTCCCTTCCTCTGGCATATCACAGATTTTCAATGCATTTTTTAAAATAAATGCCTACTTGCCTGAGGTCTATTTAAGTAGTTTTGAATGTCAAATAAACTAATGTAAGCACTGTAAATGAAATACTGTAAATGAAATATTGTGAAGCAGGGTTTACGATGTTTGGGAATATTGACTTTGATACCTTAGAAGTAAATTCCATTAAGTGTAAAAAGCTCTACCACCTTTTAAGGGAAAATAAATTAGATTCAAATAGGTAGAAAAGCAGGGAGAAAGATGAGATGTTTGAATAGAAGAAGGTCAACTTTTTGATCCTTGCTATTTGTATCAGTGTGTTTGTTTTTTGCTTTTTGTGGCATCTGTGTTTTCCTCTATTTATTTGGATTTCTGGGATAGCTAGTGATTTAAGACATTTGATGTCAAGGTAAAAAATTATCCTCTGTGATGAAAGAGAGAACATGTTTATTAGTTTCACTCTGGAGGAGATTACAATTCAACCACACGTTAATGAGTTAGCAAAATGGTCAGAATACATAGTGTAAGGACCAATTCGAAAGCATAAGAAAAGAGAAAGAGAAGCCACATATGAGAGAGGTCAGGGGGTGAGAACTGGCCATGTGAGACAAGGGCAAGGAAGAATCTCAGAGCCTGGTTGTACAAGGTGACTGCAAACCACTGCACCATATGGGGGAGAGTCTGGGGGACCCACTTGAAAGCAGAGTTGCAGGGACTGTGAAACAATTATTTTGTTATGCTTTACACTGAGCAGACCTGGAATATTCTACTTTTCAAGGAAAGCAGGATATGGGAAATGTGTGTGGAAGTTTGAAGGAAAGCCGCAAACATGAGTAAATGCTAAGAACATTAAATCTGTGTGGACTATTTTCACACAAAAATCCTGAGAAAGTGTAGAAAAAGGAAGACCAAGTCTCTTGTAACTAAACCTCCCTTTTGGTGGAAATGTAGAATTTCGGTTAGATTTCACAAGGAATGTCTAAAATCATCTAAAATCCCTAAAGAAGCATTGCTTCCAAGTCATAGTCTGGCAGATTGTATGTGTTGGTTCAGGCCTGTGGCTTTGCTGAGGGATTTCATGGAAGGATTGAACACTGCAACCCCTCGTTGTGAATGAAGAGCTTCTATTGCAGGTATAAGGCAGTTGTTCAGCATGGCACCTGTATATGAAGGATCAGGAAGTTGATAATACAAAATGTGAGATTATCATTGTTCATTTTGCTGGTACCATTTGAAAGGCATGGCTAAGAAACTTAGTGTTTTGGTTAGTCATTCTGTGGATCCAGAGAACCCAAGAAAATATATTAGTTACAGAAAAAAGTTTTGGCCAGAATCTGACTTTTCATGATATCTCTCTTCATGTTAGTATATTATATTGACTAGGATTGGCTAGAGGGTGGAAAAGCTGAGACTTCCTTTGTGGGGCTACACAGGGAGCTTCTGAGCAGAGACATGGGATAACATGAAAAAGATGAAAGATGGCATGATGTATAATGCGTGGTTGGTCATTTCATGAGGTGAGGCTCCTCATTTTTTTTTAATTTTTAATCTCTAACTCAATAGTACTTTTCAGTTTTTTACACTATGGCAGAAGAAAATATGACTTCTTATTCAGATTTTGCAGCTATTCCTCTGTCTTCTCAGTTTTCTTATTCTATTACATTTCTGGTAAGTACAATCCAACCCATCCCCCATCTGCAGGATATTGTGATCTGTGATGTTACAGTAGGAATTTGAGAAAGCTATGCTATAATGGAAGGCCACGCTGTCACGTAGGATATGTGGGGCAGAGAGCAAGAAGTATCACCCATCCCTGGGACCCAGATACTATTCTATGCTTTTTGGACCCCCCGTTTTCTTTCTTAGTTAGTAAAAGAAATGTCGTGACAGCTTTTCTTACTAAACACATACTCATGTAGTATCTGTGAAATTAAAAGTTGACTAAGGTGTTAATTCATAGAGGTCTTCACAGTGCCCTAGATTTTGTTTGTTCCAGCTCATATTTCACATTTTGTCTTTCATTATACTTTGCAGATGTTCTGTGTTATTCTTTTAGACATCTGGTAAGGAAGAGACTTACTGGATTTCTAGTTAGTATTTTGCGACCTAGAACTGCTACTTGAGAAGGAATGATCCTATATCATTCCTCTTGTAGCTTAAATGTAGTTTTCATTGACTTACAGCTTTTAAAAGTCTGCAGTGCAAGCTGTGTTCGTTACAGACTTAACCTTTCTACCATCTTGTTGCCTGACTCTCCGATAGGTCATTTGGCTATAGTATTTCCAACCTACGGTTCTCCAGGACTGGTTCAACTGGAAGGCCAATTATTCTAATCCTTTTTCATGGCTCTGTGTGATGCTCCCCAAAGCTGTCCATTTGGCCAACAAGGAAAATCTACCTATACAACAGACACCCTTTAGTATGTAAGTAGAACCATCAATACATTATTTAACGTAGACACACAGTCTGTATTAGTCAGGGTTCTCTTGGTTACAATTCAAATAAATTTAAGCAAAAAAGTAATTTATTGGTTCACTTAACTGGGAAGCCCAGAAATGATGCCTTCAGGCATGACTGAATCTGCATTCATATTCTCTCTTTAACAGTATCTCTTACTCCCCATGTTGTTTGTCTGTCTCTTTTCTCTGCATGATGGTCTCTTAACTTCTTGCTGCTGGCAGCTCTTTCCATGTGGCCAGAGAAGATGGCCACTTGTAACCCCAACTATACAACGTCTCACCTTGACAACAAGCAGAAAGAAAACAGCACTCTTCTCTGTAGCTCTGTATCAATCTGAGACAAGACTCTTATTGACATTACATGCAGCACGTGCTTATGTTTGCTGTACTCAGTATATTCGGGGGAATGGAGTACTGTGATTGACTAGGCCTAGGCCATCTGCTCAGCCCAGTTACAGAGATAAAGAAGCAAAACTGATACCCCATCAAAAGCATATAGAATGGAGGAAGTATTTTCTTTAAAAAATTCAGAGTATAGGAGAAGGGAAATGTGCTACATAATAGAAATTACGATTGCTACAGTTTGGCACATAAGTTGTTTCCTGTTAGTAACTCTTCTGAGGTTGAATACTGCTATGGTCTAAATGTTTTTGTCCTCCCAAAATTAATATGTTGAAACGTAATCCCCAAAGTGATGTGTTAGAGTGCAGGGCCTTTGAGAGGTGATTAAGTCATGAGAGAAGAACCCTCATGAACAATATTAGCACCATTATGAAAGAGACTGCAGAGAGCTAGCTAGCTCCTTTCATTATGGGTTATAATGGTTATAATGGAAAGGTGTTCATCTATGAAGAAGCAGGTCCTCTCTAGACACTGAATCAGCTGGTGCCTTGATCTTGGACTTCCCAGCCTCCAGAGCTGTGAGAAATAAATTTCTGTTATTTATAAGCTACTCAGCCTAAGGTATTTTGTAATAGCAGCCCAAATGAACCAAGACAAATGCTAAAATCTCATAAGCTATCTGACAACCATTATCCTATTGTAGTTTGATTGGGGATATTTGGATGGCAGAGAAAAGAAAGTGTATCTGGACTATAAAATCAAAGTTGATGACTTATTGTTTAGCTTCAGTTTTCTGTCACGGGATTTTTTTTCTGACCTTCAGATTTCAAAAGTTACTACGCTGTTATACTGTTACCTGCTGTAAGATGATTATTAAATATCAAAGTGAGAGATTTTTGTTTTGTAAATTCATGCCTTCCAAATGTAATTTTAGATATTATACCAGGCAAAAGAATACACTCCACCAAATAACATAAAATCTTTAAAAATTTTCATACATTTTATATGTTATGGTCTGATTAAAATTCATATTTCCTTTCATAAGAACTCAAGATAAACCCAGAGGAGAAAAATTCGTGCATTAATATTCCATGAATACTGGGGATCAGTAAATCTAGCAATTTTCTTTCAACTACACGCGAGGATTGGAATAATATCATGTAGAAAAGACAATTCTGGTTTATACTTATAACTCATGAAAATACATACATTCCAAGCTTGGCAAAGTACATTTTCCAATTTCTCAAAAACATGTTTAGAAATGAATTCAAAAGGGCATCAGTGGAAAAATAGAGGAAATACTCTTACCTTGTGAAAAACAGGAGATAAATGACAATTCTAAAATGTCATAGTGCCATATTACCAAAATCTCTTTCATGCCTTTTATTCACATGCCCCAATGAGTGCATCTATATAAAGTTTCTTGGAAGCTGGAGATCTGAGGATCAGATGTAATGTCATTCTAAAATAATCCAGGAGCTGGCTGAGTCTGCTTAAATTTTGTTTTATTTTAGTTTGTTTTTTCAGAGAGGATGCTTAATTTTTTTGTATTGCCTCCCTTTTAGGAGATAAAAACCAAGCATGCTTTTTGGAGCCACAGTAAGAAAATTAACCATATATCAGAAACATTAGGGTCTTAGATTTTCTGTTCCAATTCTTAGAACATGGCTGTGCAATGTAATAATTGTGATTTTAGTTCCTCACACTAATTACAATTTTTAGGTGTACATTACATTGCAGTTCTAATTAATTGATAGAATACTGGGTAGAACAGTTTTTAACCATACTAACTTTGGTCATCACAGGAAGGGGAACATCACACAGCAGGGCCTGTTGTGGGGTGGGGCCCGGAGGGGGGAGGGATAGCATTAGGAGATATACCTAATGTTAATGACGAATTAATGGGTGCAGCACACCAACATGGCACATGTATACATATGTAACTAACCTGCACGTTGTACACATGTACCCTAAAACTTAAAGTATATAAAAAAAAAAAGAGAAAAAGAAACAGGCAAATGAACTTCCTGAATGGTTATAGAAAGTGATATCTGAGTAATAAATGTCAGGTCAGGCTCTGTTAGTTAGACCAAACAAATCCATAAATTGAGGAATTATCTAAAAAATTCAAACTGGACTTTAATTATATAAATGGAATTTGGGGTTGGCATTTCTCAAATCAAAGTTGCACTCTGATCTGTACTGCCTGACCTCATCAGATTGAGTTCATTCCACCTTGTGTTCTGTGGCCCTGACAGAAAGGGCACTCTGAGGGCACATATTCTCATTCAGTATTTCACACTCCATGATGATGGCCTCATCACTGTAAAAAGCTTAATGGTAGCTGCAAGAAAAGGCACCATAAAATGTATGCCAGCCCCTTGGGTTTCTAAATTTACTGAATTTGGAATATAGAAAAAGGTTCTTCCCACTTCCATATAGAGAAAAAAAAACAGAGAATGCCCAAATAAAAAAAAGAAAAATAATAAGATCAGGGAATATAAAAAGGGGAAAGTTCCTCCAGAATTGTCTAAGATGAAAGCTGCCCTGACTGACTGAATGATCCTGTGGCTGGGAAAGCGAGAGTGGCATTCCACATGTTCAAGATCCAGCACAACAGTGATAGGACTTCCATCAGTTGATAGAGATCTTGAGCCCAAGACATCAAATCCTTTAGACCAGGAACTCTATACTTCTCAAATGACTGTCTGCCCTTCTTTTCCCTCCTGCTACTTTACCAAATTTTGCAGTCCTGTGCCAAAGATTAAATTCCCTTGGATCAACATGGAATAATCAGCTAACATTTTTTCAAGCAATTACTAAGATCATCAACTTTTTTTAAAGCATCAATTTTGCAAGAAAATTTTGGAAAAAGTTAAGTAAGTACATAATATACAACATAATATATTGTGTGAATCTGTAAAGTTCAACCTTGAGACTGGAAAGATGGTTTCCATCTATAGGTGTGTCACTTCTGGTAAACCTCAGCATGCTCTGGAGTGCACCTTAATTCTCTGACCATAAGAGATATATTAATGAATAAATTGAGAAGCACTGGGAAAAAGACACATAAAATCCTTCAGCTCTACTTTTACAGATAGTTATACACTTTTGTCTCTAATTCTCATAACAAAGGGGGCATTTCATGTTTGAAAGACCCACTGGAAATCTCTACTTGCATATCCTCACTTAGAAATAGATAAATCCTAATAATGCCTTATCTATGTGGCCAATTTCAGATGTTTTCATTTGAGATATTTCACATACATACTAAGATAAGATAAAAGCAAAGTAGTTTTCAACAATAACTAGGGATGGCTTATTCTTCAGTAGTTTTGTTTTGAAAGGATTTTAAATTTACATAAGAATTGCAAAAATAGAGCAGAGAGTTCCCATATATTCTTTTTGTCTGATTTCCCTAATGTTAGCATTTTCATATTCATAGTACATTTATCAAAACTAAGAAATTAACATTGCTATAATACTATTAAACTACAGACTTCATTCATATTTCCCAAGTTATTTCAACCTTTTTTCTGTTCCCGGATCTAACTGCATTCTTGCATTTTTTCTTTCCTCTTATTCTCTTCAAATACTACAATAGATATAGCATTACTACTTTTAAGAGCTTTGCTCTTTCAAGATCATCAAAGGCAACTAATAGCTTCATAGTTTTTTTAAAAAAAATATGTTAAACTTCTGCATTAAATCTGCTGGCTGCTTTAAAGCAGTAAGAAATGTACTGTGTGGAATTTTAAGCTTGAGCATCAGGAAAATGGGTTAAAAACTACAACCATTTCTAGACACCTACAATCTCCTTCCCTCTAGCAAAATCCTTTTCAGCTAGGAACTGATTTTCTGATAGGCTAGATTTGATTGATTTCAGAAAAGCTCAGAACTTTTTGTTAGGAATTTTCCGGCTTACTTACAGCTCAAACTCCCACTCTCTTATGGCACAGATAAATTTTGAGTCGCTTTGAGGCAAGGACCTGTTCTTACTCACTTTTGTATCCTGAACATTGCCTTAAACTTGATAAATATTTGTTGAATTAATGAACATATGAAATTTCCTAGAATCTTCAAGCTCGAGTGAATTGGAGAAAACTTGACACTTCCAGGTTAATTAGACTCTGGAGCCTTCACCTCTGACTGCCTTTGGGATGTTTTGGTGTAGATAGTGTCAAAGAGGTTGATAGGTGATGTGTTATAGACGGCTTCATGGAAATGTCATGAACCTGTGTAGAATACTGCCAGAAAACTCGCCAACTTTTAAATATCTAATGTTTCTTTTCTAAGAGAACTAACAAGAGCCCTTTTCTTCTCATAAATACGCAATCAACAGATTATAGAAAAATACGTCCATAGCACAATGACAAACATCAAATGAAGTATTGGTCATATCCTGCTTGGGTATAAGCAATTTTCTAATAATAAAGCTATCATTCAAAGAGCAATAATTCTAGGGCTCTAAATATTGACATGTGAAGCGGACCAGGGCAGGAATGTGCTCAGTGATTACCCTACTGGTCTCAACATGTTACTGTTTTGCCACAATCCAAATTTAAATCTCAATGGCCTAGGTTTTTTGTCATCTTTCTGTCTGAGTTCTTGAACCCTTACTGATAGACTGGAATAAATGATAAAAGATCCTGAACTGCCTTCAGGATCTTTTCCCTCAGAATGAGACACAAGTCAGGTATTTGTAGATGGTCTCCTGACATACAACAAGCATACTGAATTTGAGAAAGGGGTCTATTTTGGCTCAGGACGTAAGTAACTCCATAGCAATTATTTCCATTATAGACAGCTGATTTATGGTAATGATTAACTCAAATAATCATTTTATTTAAAAATTCACTTGGAAACTGAAAAGTCAAACTTCAATTTAGCAAAAAATTGAATATGAGAAATTGGCTTCTACTATATAAAATTTTTGCTAAATATGGGGTTAATCAGATACCTATTTATGTCTCATTTCTCACTTGTCTTAGTGAAATGCACCTTAGTTTGACTCAGAAAGCACAATCAAGTCAGCCTGTTGCACTATCTTTGCCTACTTGCATTTCATTTCTTTCTCGCTTCAACATTTATTAGATGCCTATTTGAGGAGGAGGAAGAGGAGGTTAAAACTATGAAGCATACGCAAATCAGCCACCTTTAAGTGCAGTAATTAAAGATGATAGTTTATATATATTAATATAGTCACTGGCCCTGTTCTTTCAAGTGCTGTGAAATGCGTGGGTTGGATAGAGTTGAGACTTCCTCACATAGGTTCCAGCACCTTTCAGGCAACTGCTATTAGTAGGCAATTACTTGATGGTTTCTGTTAATAGATCAGGTCAGGTTTAACTTGAAGTCACTTGCTTTTATACTGTGTCTCATAACAGTCGGCATTTGGTATCAATTGCTAAAACGTCTTTTCTTCCTCTGGCAGCAGTTGAAATTAATTTGGTGTTCTTCCTGCTGGCTTATCCCTGTGCAACATTATTTCTTCTTAGTTCTTGACATAAAGACTTCCTCTAGCAGGGCAGCCAACCTAATCCCCACAAAGAAAATGGCCCGGCAGGCAACCCAGGCTGTCACAGCAGCAGACACTGAACCCAAACCCAGGTCGGCTGCTCCTTTGCCCCCTTTCTCCTTCTCCATCTGCGTATTTAGAGTGAGACTCTAAAGAGGCTTTTGTGCAAACTTCGACTTATATTAAGAGGATATACACTGTGGTAGGAAAACGAGAGGCTTTGGGTTTAGATAGCCCCTTTTTTACACTTTGATTCCACCCCTTACTTGTGTGACCCGGGACAAGCCATTTAATCTCTCGGTACCTAGTGACTTCATCCGTAAAACAAGAAACTCATTTCAACCCCATATATACATACATACATATGTATTACCTATCATATGCCAGACAGATAGTAAGTTAGTAAGTGCTTCAAAAATTCCTTCTTGGAAGGAAATGTCCTTTCTACAGCCTCAATCCAAAATGAATGGTTGTGATTTTTTGGAGGTAGTCTTTTTAAAGCTCCCCTGACTCAAATAGCCTAGCTGAGTGAAGGGACAGCCTTCTCAGGGCCCTGTGGGCCTGTCACAAGCAATGATTTATGGCTTGTGACAGCACGTGCTCATGTTTGAAACCACAGCTTGCTGAGGCTAGAGTGGGTTTCTGAGGCTTTTGTGTAATGGGCTTTGTTTCATGCTAATAAACACAAAAACTTCTTCTCTATAAACATGTTCCTTATGGACCCCTGAGGCTATAGTGCTGATGAGTTTATTTTTTTAAAGAAAAATAGGATGAACTACAACCACCCAATTAGAGAGACTCAGTCGGATCACTAGAAGCTTTCAGTCCTGGACACAACAGAAGAGGTTTTAAGGGACTCATGCAGGAGAAACCATAATGAGAAAAACACGGAATTTGCTTTTATTCTTAGAAGCAGCTTTGTTTTATCTCTAGGCTCAGAGCTGTGCTGCTGGAACTGAACTCATTTCCCAACAAACTGTTTTTGTTTCTCACTTGTTATGTGAATAACCTCAGAAATGCAGGCATCTTAGTCCCTGCAAGTGCAAAGAGTTTGACGACACAATGAGTAGCTGTGGACAATTTCCAACTCTCACCCGGAAGCCTGTACCTATTGGAAGAGAGTCGCCAAATCCTAGGATGGTTCTGATCCAGGAGCCTCCCTAGGGAAATGTTAACAAAGAGGATGAAACTAAAGAAGTAATTCTCTAGGTACTGCTTTTACCCATGGGCTATTGCCCAGACACTGCCATGTGTGCATTTTTTAAGATTATTTGTGGATGATGGGATCATGGGCAGCTGATGAAGAAAAACATCAGAATAAAAGTTCTAAAGCATAGTAAGCCTCCACCTGTGGAGCCACCCTGATGTGCAGATATATTCTAAAGTTTGAGTCCAAGCTGTTCCAGATCAATGCCATTAAGATTAGGGCTGCATCTCTTCACTGAGCTAGCCAGCTCTGAGATACCACAGCAGAGTTCTGATTACATACATCCCTTCCTTATCTTCCTCTAATTTTTTTTCCTCTGTTGATTCCCCCATTGTTGGCATATCTTATCAAGGTTTGTTTTTCTTTAGGTCGTTATTAAAAATAAGAGAGAAAGATGTACTTGCCTACTCTTAAAGTGGATCTTAAAGCAGATGTGTTTGTTCCATCAACTCATCCTCCGTTCATAGTAGCATATTCAGTACAGATACATTTATTAAACACTAATACCAGCCATATCCTGTACCATGCACTAGGATTCAATAGTGAGCAAAACAGAAACTTAAAACCATAACCAAAAAATCAAAGAAATATAACACTGTAAACTATAATCAGTGGCACAGAGGAGAAGTACAAGCTACAAGAAGAACTTGTAGCTGGGGATCTGATAAAGGCTTATGAGTCACAGAAGCTTTCCTGAGGGATGGTTTTTTTTGGATCAAGACCTGATGAATAAGTAAAAGCAAAAGCAAGATAATTCTGGGCCACAGAAGCAGCAGGTGCAAAGGTCCTGAACCAAAAGGAATTTGGCATATTGGTGGAACTGAAAGCAAGAGAGTGTTGCCAGAAAGCCAAAGATGAGTGGAAGATGACAAAGGCAGGGTTGGGAAGCAGTGGCCACATCAAGTAGGACCAAAGACATTGGGTTTTTAATCTACAAACCAATGAGATACATTTAACGTTTAATAAAAAGAGATATGATCAGATTTGTTTATAAAATATTAAAATAACTGCAGCATGTAGAGCTGATTAAAGAGAGGGTGTGGTGGTTTTAAAGTATGATCACAAATTCTCTTATATTCTTTGTTTCAATAGTTGGAGTATAATTCTTCTCTTGAGTGTGGATGGGTTCAGTGATTCACTCCTAATAAAAACGGACAATGCAGCCCCTACCACATTCTCTTTAATCATTTGTTCTGGAGGAAGCTAGCTGCCCTGTGATGAGAAACTAAAAACTTCTAGCAAGAAGCTTGGAACTCCAACAGCCATGTGATCCAACTAGGGAGCAAATCCTCTAGCCACAGTCAAGCCTTCAGATGATGGTAGCCTCTGTCAACATCTTGACAGACTCCAAGTTAGAACAAACCAGCTTAATGGCTCCTGGCCTCCCGACGTTCAGAAACTGTGTGAGAATATAATTATTTGTTATTTTAAGCAGCTAAATGTTGGAATGATTTGTTGTGCAGCAATAGATACTAAATATAGAAGGTAAAAACAGATATTAGTAGGATGTTTCCACAGCAGCCCAAACAGATAATGATGCCTTAACTTAAAGTGAATGCTACTCAAGTACATCTTCACTTCCTCTTTCTAAGCACACACCATGGGTATCAGATATGACCACTGGAAAGCAGTAGAGGTAGCTTTGAATCCAGGGTTTGCTATTTGATTATAGAGGATCTTGTAGCGCCTCTCTATAGCAAGGGTTGTTTTATTCAAATGATGGAGCCACTAATATTACTTCCCTCTTAGATTACATGAGAGATGCATGTAAAGTCCATAGTAAAGGTGTTAGAGCATAGCAATTGACAGTTTTTATTATTATTATTATTTAGAGTATATCCATATAGATGATAATTTCTCTCTCTGAATCCTGTTCTTTGCTATGAGAATAATCGCCATTAAACACCACAGTATCACTTTCCTTATCAAATTACATTCATGGATTCCCATTACTTTCAAAATACACTTGCAATTTTTGGGCCATATATTAGGGGTTTCTACCTTGAAGTGCCACCTTGCTACCTACGTGAAAGTGAAACTCTGCTCCCTGCAAATTCTTCTTCTCCTTAGTTTATTTTTTCATGGCTTGTGATGTTTGGTTGAGTCACTTAATTTCTATTATCCTTAGTTTTCACACCAATATATTGTACATATTAATAAATACCTACTCCTTCCCACTGTGCAGGGAAAGCATAATAAAAGTTCAATTGTTCATTGTGACAAACTTATCCTATTTACAAGAAGCCTGAGCCATGTATGTTGCACCTCCTGCATACACATACATAAAAATCAAAGAGCCACCAAAGAGCATTACTCTGGAGGTTTTACTAACTTTGAGGAGGCACTTCAGGCGTCAGGCCTCAGGTCTCTACTGGTTTTAACTCACTTTCAGCATATTGAGCCCATCTTCCTCATCTCTAGTTTCCCAAAAGAAGTTTGAGATGTTGATTAATCACTGCTGATTCATTCTCAGTCATGTTTTATTGCTTAACTAACTTCAGGCAGTCTCTTGCCATCCTCAGAACAATCCAAAGCCCTATTGCTCTACATTTAGACACAGAGGATGAAGAGGAAGATTCCTTCATAGGACCAGGCAATAGCAAGTCTACTGACAGCTACTGAGATGACCTCAAATCTCCAAACTAGTCTGACTTCACTAACCAGAGGAACTGGAGAAATGCAGATGTTTGACCCACTTTAAATGCATCTGTCATTTTAAATAGTGCATATTTTTGGTGACTTCTCATTTGTATAGCCCACAGATTGGCTCAAAAGTAGGAATGCATAATTTTTTACTCTCTATGTTCCCAACCGAGATTATTACCCCTGGTAGAATGCCCTTCAGAGACCAGTGGTAGTACCTGAAAATTGTTTATGGGCCTCTTCCTCCCCTCTTCAAGCCTCCTTTAAAACAGAGAGAAGCTGCCCAATAGAGAGACTCTTTAATTTGCCAAGGACCAACCCAACCCAAAGTGTCTTGATCTTTTAATTTTTCTTGTTTGAAGTAGCATCAACACAAAGTAATTTTTATTAATCTAAAGTATGGCAGTGATTTTGCAATACGGTATATAATGAGGATTTTGTAGAAATCTTTGCAACTTTTTTAAATGTTCATATTTCCAATAACCACACCCTAGATTTCTCAGCATGATTCTGCATATAAAACATAACTACCAATACCAAGAGAGTAATTTAATAATTCCATTGCTCTTTTGTATGATCTATAGCCTTCTTATATCTACCCAAATATGTTTTTCAAGTTTCCTATATAATATTTTAGATATAGTTGACATTTAAGTGGCCCCTGAACAAAGATCTTATTTATCAACAAACTGAGATGCAGTCTCAGTTCCAACACTTAGAAATATTTTTAAATTTTTTATTGAATGAGACAAACAAAAAAGTACACAAATCTTAAGTATACATCTCCTTTGAATCATTATAAAATTAACATACCCACATTCAATTAATTGTTTATTTCTTTGTGAATCATCAAAAAACACCCAATATTAGCTTTCCCTGAAAAGGGTAGCTATATAAATTTTAAAATGCTAATCATGCCATTATGTATTAATTTTCTTCTTAATTGGATTTTTAATTTCCTTATTAATACACTATAATCTAGTCATTATTACTGATATAGATATTTTAGCATGCATATGTGCATGTTTGGGGGTGCTGTATGTGCACATTTGTGTTAGGGCCAGGATGGGACTGATTTAATCTGGCCTGTAGAATCACCAACTCTATTAAATAAGATATTTTTAGATATTTATGATGAAAAGACTCAAAACATTAGGCCTTTGTTCTTAGTCCTTGACATAGTATCTGAAAAATTTAATTCCTTCAGAACTGATATATTGAATAGACAGATTCTAGTTTTGAATATAAAAAGTTACAGCTGGAAGGTACCTAAAAGACCTCATTTTACATGTGAAGAAACCAAGTCTATGTACTTGAGTGAGTAGCCCAAGGTCACACACTAATTAGAGGCTCACCCAGGACTTTCCCATGCCCTACTTGATTACTCTTAACAGCTCATGCAACCCAAATGTGCTATTATGACTGCTGTTTCTGCAACAATCAGTAAGGACCAGCACTAGTGTGTTACAGAGAGCAGTCAAAAGATAAAAGATAAAAGAAATAATGTACACTAACAAGAGAACATCTCAGAAATTTCCCCTCTTCCAGCAAACCAATACCGACACCACTTATAGGAACCTGACTGGGTTGCCCTTTATATAAGTATATGTTGTAGGGAAAATGCCAGAAGAAATACTACAAAAACAAGGCAAAGAACTGTTGTTTTGACTGTATTTTGAAAAATAGCCTGAAAACTATTTTGGTGTGATATACAATATGATAATTTTGAATTCAGGTTGAAACAAAATTGGTTTTCTATCTTGGTTATCAGTGGGGGGCAGAAAACTCTGATCGTAGGTACTGTTTATGCACTGGACATAGGTGTAATGTGTGATCACAGGTTATTTGTTTCTAACCTCAGTTTAGAAACTCCAAGTCTTGGTCTCCACAAGGGAAATACATAACCGGGATATTCTGCCCCACTCCATATGAGGTTCTGCCCATCTGGTTATGATGTTTACGTAGATACACACTTGTACACACACAGTTTCCTGGAAGGAACAGGAAAGTAATGGATTCTTTCAGATCAGTTCTCATGTGCACAGGCATACAACCACTTTGGGAGGATTTAAAGTTAGGCAATAATTAAAAGCTGAAGTAGGTGTCTCTGGAAGCATCTAACCAAGTCTGAGTCATTATCACCATGATGGAAGTGCCATGTGTTACCATATTCCTGAGCTATTTCCTCATTTAAGGGCTTCAACAGTACAACTCAGGGTCATTTGCTAAAATGATATTTGCATTTCCTTACAAATACATTCTACCAGTGATGTTTCTAAAAACATCCTCTTATTCATATCTAAATGGCTATCTTGCATTTGTGCCTCGATTTTGAGATGCCTAAGATTGTTTTCAGAAGTAGGTGAAATAAAGAAGAGGGGAGAAAGATTTCCGTATAAATTGCTAAGGTGAAGGGGATAATCCCTTCTATTATTGGGTGGATAAGTGTGTACATGAGTTAGGCAATGTGAAAATTTTTTCTCAGTGATTTAAATCTGGTTGGGGGAGAGGGTAGAGATCAAGAATCTTTTATGAAAGTTCTTAATTTCCAGTTGGTACGTTAGACATTATTTTCTCAAAGAAATTACAGTGATATATCCTAAAAGTAGTCTATTAAATCTAAGTTAACTTTTTGGTAAAATAAGCTAGTCAAGGTCAATGTTGTTTATATAGGACAACGGATTCTGAATTTCTAAAAACTCAATTACATGGAAGCTTTTGGGAATAATGATCACCTAGGCTTATTTTGGTCTGTTAGTTTTTCTTTTGTAATAATCATTCTCTGTGATGACTGAAGTCAGTTGACTGTTCTCAAATAAGATTTTAATTAAATTGATAAATCCACAGGAAAATCTATGAAATGTTTATAAAGTTGCCCCTGAAATTTTTTTCTTTCAAAACTCTGGAAATTAATGGTAATTAAAAAAATAGCTATCAAAATTTGACTTGTGTTGCTCAAAGACCATGTGAGGAAATTTATGGTTTCAGACATAATGAATAGCTAGTATTGTACTTACTTTCCCACCTTAAACTTTAAAACCTGCAGAAAACATATAAAATAACTATTTGCAGTTATGAGACTGGAGCCCAGGCAGAGCTACAATCCTTAAGAGAAAGGGGGCACTGAAGGTAACCCTCACATTCACTAAGGTTTTTTTGTTTTTTTTGTTGTCGTTGTTTTTTGTTTTCTGGAAACAATTTCTGGACTGTGGTGCAGGAAAATGGAACCCATGCAGACAGTGATAGATAAAAATGCCATGACCTTTTTGTAATTTTGACACACATTTTTATAAAACGATATGCTCTTCATTAAAAAAATAAAGTTTTACTTGGAAATTGAGGCCTGACAACTCACAAGCAAACTAAAACATTTGCTTTTTCTCTGTTGGAATAATATCTTACTACATGTTTTAGAAGAAAAAAAATCTTTTCCTCTTCCACTTTTTTACCTTTGACTTCAGGAATTCTAATGCTAATTTCCAGGTGGATACATTGTAGTATATACCTTTTATTGTCTAATAAAATCAAACTTTTCCTAATTTCGGTCTCCAAGGAGAATGTATTGCTTTGGGCTTCAAATCAAGTTAACTGAAGGGGCAATATCTGAGAGCAATAGCAGACAAAGTACCTTCAAAGATAGCCGAATGAACTAACCAGTTGAATCGGATGCTGAGCATGTTGACCAAAGTGAAGACTTTAGGTTGACGCAACTGAGGTGGCATTGTTTTTCTCTTTACTCATTGGCTCAAAGTTTCAGCTCCAATTTGAGATCACTTTTAGATTGGGATTGTAAATTTTCACTACATATTAAAATGTAGTCAATCAGCAGCACAAGATGCAAGCTTCACCCCTGGGTGACACACATCCCTAATCTACTAGAGGTCATCAATGCCAAGGGGCAGCCATGGTTCATCTTCTGGGCTGCCATCTTACTTGAAGTTTGGAAGAAATAATGATTCCTTTTAGCTTCCATCCCACACAGACATACTGTGAAAATGCAAAAGGATACATGAACTTAAAGATAAAATCAGAAACTTAAGAAAGGGAGCCCCTTTGGTGCATATTTCTGACAGCCCACGGGGTCTGTGTTTATTCTTCCCTGACACTGGAGAGAAATAGTTTGAGAAGGAAGCGCACATGCTGTCACATCAGCCTGGGATTCAAACTCATCTCAGCCTCTCATTGACAGTGTCACTTGGGAGAAGTGGCCTAAACTCTCTGAGATTTACTCATATTTAAAAGGAGGAAACCAATATTTACCTCAAATATTGCCATAAATTAAAAAAGTGTGGTGGCAAAAACCTTCCTCTCCATGCCTGACTAGATGGTACCCTCTCTTCATTGTTCCTATCACCTAAAATTCTGTCATAATCACTTAGATATAAGTTTAAAAAAGGAGGGGGAATGGGAGATATGCTCTCAGGTTTGCTGCTCAAGAGCTAACTTTTCCTCTAGTTCTTTCACAATGATGCTGTCATACAGGCTGGGAAGAAGTCTACACTGACAACGCAGAGTACATCTCATATGTGGCTCTTGCCTAATGTACCAGGCCTGGAAATTGCCTTAGATTGCTTCTGTTTTCTCTACTGGGTGAAGCTGAGTAAAAAGTATTAAATATAAGTGCTATCCCAAAGTGCTAACTTGAGTAACTCTACAAAGAGTAGGGCAGGAGGGTGCATGAGGGGTCCAGTCAGGGGCTCCCAGGCGTTGTGGTGGAGTAAAGCATTAAGGGACAAATAGGATGACTGCAGAAGAATCTCTGGAAATATGTGGAGACAGTTGGGGCCAGGGACTTCATTGCTGTCCTGTCATCTGTGTCTGTCTGGTATCTGAGGGTAACTGTAGTGTGGAAGTGAAACGGGACAAAATGGTGGTGACAGGGAAGTGATCTCCAGAGCAGTGGTAATGGAAACTTCTTCCACTCAGGCGCTTCATAGATAAGGGCTCTTTGCAGGCTGGGAGTTTGTAATGTGGGGACTACTTAAAGAGCAATTTTTCAATGATATTTAAATTATTTGCAATTAATTTAAATTATTTGTGCAAATATGAAATTTAAATTATTTGTGCAAATATGAAATTCTTCTATTAATGATTTTGTCCTGAGTGCCAAGGAAACCAAGAACACCAAAACAAGGCAAGACTCTAAAATTATCATTTATCTGTTCCTCATTCTTTCAGCAATATTTAACATGTCCCAGGCACTGAGAATATAAAATGAAAAGCCCAGTGTCTGCCCCCAGGAATATGTATTCTGCCTAAGACAGTATAAGACATAGTCATTCACTTTTTAAAAGCATGTATGAATATGCAATGTTTGTCTTTCTGTGCCTGGCTTATTTCACTTAACATAATGAGGACATAGAGAGTAGAAGGATGGTGAGCAGAGGCTAGGAAGGGTAGTGGAGGGCTGAGGGGAGAAGAGGGCATCATTAATGGGTACAATAAAATAGAGAGCAAGAATGAATAAGACATACTATTTGATCTCGCAACACGGTGACTATAGTCAATAATAATTGTACATTTTAAATAAATAAAAGAGTATAATTTGGATTGTTTGTAACACAAAGGATAAATGCTTGAGGGGGTGGATACCCCATTCTTCATGATGTGATTATTTCACCTCGAATGCCCCACAAATATATACACCTACTATGTACTCACAAAAAATTAAAAATAAGAATATGTGAAATTTATGTTCTAAGTATTCTTTCTCATTAATGTAAAAGCATATGTCACCCATTATTTTTCATCTTCTGATTTCTCAAAGCCCAAGGTCATCTCTGGCAGTATTTTTAAGAAATTAATAATAATAATAAATATTTGGCTCAATTCTAAACTTATAGAACCAGAATTTCCGCTTTTGAGGCCCAGAAAGTTGCTTTTTTAGCAGACTCCCAATGTGATCTTTTGTAATTAAAATTGAGAACTATAGCTGACTTTCTCTTTCTTAACATTGCCCCTTATCGTAAGATAGACACTGAGAACTTCAAAAGCGAAAACAGAAAAGATCACATCTGCCATGAAATTTCCAAATAGTCTTTCTTAAGTATGTGTTGATGCATAAACTGATTTGTTTTGACTGATTTTATCTGTGAGGCCAATCCACAAAACAGTCATGTCAATCAAAAAGTCATTTCCTTTTGTTTGCGTTTTAACATTCGCCAGCCTGGGGCTTGTCACAGACAAAGGTTACCTGATTACATTACCGTGGCAGGCAGGTGGGTGACTTCTGTAGGAGCCATACCAGAGACATCCATCAAAGGAGAACTTTTCAGTGGGCAGATCAGTACTTAATGAAAGTGCCAATGGCTTTCACAGACAAGTTTATCTGGACTCCTCTTAACTCTCTTGATAATAAACATCCCATCTTCTCTCAATAAATAGTCTTTCTTAATTTCTAAGTAGGCAAAGGTAATCAGGTCTAAGAGGACCAAGTATATTTTTTGAGGGGTGGGAAGGGAGAGGTACAGAAGCTTTGTTCCCTGGCATTTGAAAGGAGGAACAGGGAGGCTGGCAAGCACTGGGGTTTCCAATGTGGCTCCCAGAACCAGGCAGGTACAGATTCGACTCTCGCTTACCATGCCAGCTGGGGCATTCAGTGTAGCCAAGCCACAATTTCCTCATTCTGAAATTGAGGAAGTAAAAATAACTAACATTTACTGAGTGCCTGTCATGTGCCAGGTCCCCTCTCACTGAGTCCTCCCAATACCTCTGCAATGGAGAGGACAGTATGCCCGTTTAACAGGTGATGAAGTTGGGGGACAGAGAACTACTTCAGAGAGATTTTGACGGCACTAACTATGATAATGTTTGGAGTGCTTAACACAGACCTTAATATTTATAAATGCTGAAGACTCCTATTATGAATTTATTAAATTAGCCTTATTTTTCCTTTTTAAGCCCTTTCTGATAATCATTTCAAAATTCACAGCCCCTTTGGTGTGGGCCCTTGGGCCAGCTAATTCATTAAGATACATTGTCTGGGCACAGTGGCTCATGCCTGTAATCCCAGCACTTCGGGAGGCCAAGGCAGGCGGATCGTTTGAAGCCAGGAGTTCAAGATCAGCCTGGGCAACATGATGAAACACCATCTCTACTACAAATACAAAAATTAGCCAGGCATGGTGGCACACTCCTGTAATCCCAGCTACTCAGGAGGCTGAGGCATGAGAATTGCTTGAACCCGGGAGGGTGAGGTTGCAGTGAGCCAAGATCTTGCCATTGCCCTCCAGCCTGGACAACACAGTGAGACTCTATTTCAAAAAAAAAAAAAAAATGCATTGTCCAAATGCAGACTGGGCTCACTCTTCATACTTCAAAGGAAGAATGCATGGAGCTTCTAAAGTTAGTTCCAGGAGATAGAACCTATTATCTCCACAGTATATGACTCTCATTACACTGGGCAGGACCAGAAAGCACCACAACCAAGAAGAAGTTTTTTTCTGAAAACAGTACTAATCAGTCATTTTGACTACTTCCGAGGGACACATAGTGGGTGCTTTGGTTGGTTTTGAGGAGCTTTGGGTAACTGATCCAAATATGAGTTCCATTGGTTGGTTGCTCCCAGAGAGGTAGAGCAAGAAGCAGTGTGGCATAGGAAAAGAGCCAAAGCTCTTTCAGGTGCTTGGGAGAGGAAACAGAGCTGGAGCTGAATCCTGATCTCTTTCCCTCCACTTAAGAGTTGAGTGATCCTGGGAAAGCTACTTCAAGTGCTGAAGCTAGAAGTACCTCATAGGGTTATTTTGGAAAAGAAAACAAGAGGACCTATAGAAAGGTTCCAGCACACTGTCTGCCACACAACAGTTGCTCAGTAAATAAAAATTAATTATCATGATTAGTTTTATTATTAAGACTAGCTACCAATGATAACATTGTAAACACCCTAGATAGGATGGTGTAATCCTACGACTCAGTGGCCAGCATGGAGAGAGGTTATAAAAGTATGAACTCTGGTCAGGCTACTGTGTAAGTGAGTAGCATATAGAGCCAACTGGTTTGGGTGACCATAATCATTTATTTTTTCTTTCATTGAACCAAAAGTGTTGAGGCTTTGGGAAAGTACAAAGCAGGGGCTGCGTCTAAAGACAACCCTATTCCAGTTTTCTTTGAAAGTTTGGGCCCACAGATGTAGTTCCTATTAGGGGAGACTGTTTCTCTGGGCACCTACACAGAGAAAGAAATTCCTTCAGACTGAGAAGAGGATGGAAACTGTGGTCCCAAAAATACTGGAACCTGTTCTCAGCCTCCTGAAATCTCCTAAGTGTACTGGCAAGACCTCAACAAGCATGCCTGCCTGGTATTTCTAGAGGAGCCAGACTGTAGGAACAAAGGACCCTAATCTCAGCAATGGTATTGCATCCCAAGTCTGCCATGAAATAGTAAAATTGCGAGACCTAAATGAGCCCTGTTGGCTTACACAGTGGATTTCTCAGTGGTAACCAGTGTGAACTGAAAACCTAAGATGACTTGCTGATACCCCCAAGCTTTGTAGACTTAACTTTCCCCTACAATCAAGGACCCACTTAAAACAGTGGGGAGGGGAGGCTCCATGATAGCCAATGATTAGATTCCTTGCCAACTTGATGGGATGTGGAATGAACAAAAGATATATAATAATATTCTTTGCACACCGAAGTCTAGAGTAAGACTTATATTTGCAACATGTGTTAACCAGACAGTCATTGAAATTGCTTGTTGAAATTGGACATTTATGATAAATCAAAAGCTGCACTATTTGGGATTCCCTCTACCTTCCTGAGAAGCCCCACTGGGTCTCGTCTAATGGCAGGGAGTTATGTGCTTCAACCATAAATCTAAGAAATGGAACTCAGTTTGTATCTCTAGCACAGTGCTTCTCACACTTGAGCATGCATCAGAGTCACCTGGAGGCTTTGTTAAAGCACAGATTGCTGAGGTTTACTCCCAGCGTTTCTGGTCTAGTGAGTCTAGCGTTGCCAGAAAATTTGCATTTCTAATTAGTTTCCAGGTGATGCTGATGCTGTTGGTACAGGAATTCCACTTTGATAACAACAGCTGTAGAAGACAATTTTACAGAGACTTGGTATGAATTTTCATTCAATCTAATTTTTAGTGAAAATTTCTTACCCATGTGGCATGAATTTACATTCTTGTTTCAGAACTTTTTTCCCCTACACCCACCCTCCACATTCTCCTCTAAGCATAATTGTGCAAGTGGGTTTCAATAAAGTTCTCTTTTTAACACCCAATATTCACAATAGAAGTGGTGACATCACTAGATAACAATTTGGCACTTTTGTTTCACTTCTTAGTGCTACATGTTTTTTATTTGTGTTTTTCTATTTTTACTGTTAAAGAGAACACTGAACTTGTCTCTCTAGCAGCCGTAAGTATCACACAGTGAACTTGAGAGTTCTGCATTACTGATCAGGTTAAGAAAGCAGAGATTGGAATCTCTGAGATACATATTCCAATCATTTTATTTTCTTCAAATACAACCTACCCAAGTGTCTTATCTGAGTCGATTTTAGAAAGCTATTCTGTGTGACAAATTGTATCCAATTTCTTTCTTGTGCCTTGTAGATATTCTTTCATGGGCTGATAAACAGAGTATAAAATCTGTTACAGAAATTAAATAGTACCGTGGTTAAAAGCATGGGCTTTGCTGACAGAGATACCTCTGTTCAAATTTCAGCCCTGTCGCTTCATAAATTAAGGGTAATCTCAGACAAGTTAATTTTTCCTCTGTGAGTCTCAGTTTCTTCACCTGAATAACAGAGATAATGCCTTCCTTTAAGTTGTTGCAAGGGCTGATTTAGAAGACATGAGTAATAATAAGCATTATAAAAGAAGTGTTACTGTTTCTTAAAGATTATCTTTTTTCTAAAAGTTTTAGCACTCTCTGCAACCTCTTAATTTTTATAGTGGAAAATAAAAGGGTCCATGGAAAGTTAGAGAAAATTTACATGCACTCAGTATTAGGAGAAAGTGCTGTTATTGAAACAGGATTTTCACTTTTTATGATAAAGTAGGTGTGTTTGCTTAGTGTTTACTCTTATTTCAATGGTGTTTGTTTGAACCAGCATTAGCTAACAGAATTCACACAGTTCAAATAAATATCAGTGGACTGGAAAGGACTTTTCTCCAGCCAAGTAGGTCATGCTGGAATGCTAGGTTAACATCAATACACAAAAACCGATTTGGATAACAAATCTTGCTACTAACACAAAATATTCACGATATAAAAGTATTTGCAACTTAGATGAGGCAAACATGGAGATTATGTATGTATACACACACACACACACACACACACATACAAACACCATATATATTCACTATATTATAGTGAAATTATTTGTAACAATTTTTATCTGCTTTTATCTTTTAAATGCAGTTCATAATGTTATACATACCCTCAGATGTTAGTTTCATATTCACGTGAACCCAAATGAATTTGTTCAGATGGGGCATTGAAAACAAAAGGAAGCGATTCTGGTTAACTTAACATAAAACCAGGTGTGTGTATGTGTTCGGAGGAGCAAAAAACAAAAGCGAAGTTGATTGGCAAGGGTATGGGGAAGTCACCAAACTAAAAAAGGTAGATGACCAGAACAGGAGGGAACAAGAAGTGGAATTGCTCAGACATCCTGGCCAGCAGTTGGACTATTCCCGGAGCTCCAATTGCTTTTCCATCTGTGAATCATTCTGCTAAAAAGGGAAGAGTCTAGCCATCTGGTCTACAGTAGGTCAAGTGCTCACCTTTTGTTAAGGAGGTGAACTTTGATTGAAAGCTCCACGTAAGCCACTGCATATAATGTCTGGTAGTGGGGGGAAGAGAGCAGGAGGGGAAAATGACTTCTCAAAAGCTCAAAGAGAAAAAGCCTGCTGTTACCACACACAGAGAGAATGTATGCTAAAAAAAAAAAAAAAAAGTGCAACCTGCTGGTACAAATAGCATATACATGTATTTGAACTAGTTCATTTCACTTGGGTAAAAATATGCCATTGTCTTAGAATAAGAGCAAAGAACATCTTTAAAATACAACCCTAGTCCTCATATTATCCAAATTCATAGGCCACCATGCTATGCACGTTGAGTTAGCTAAAAGTTAATATTTAATGCAAATATTCAAGATGGCAAGATAAAACTCATTAAATGGAATAATATTCTTTCAAAAGGTTAATTATTCATACTCAACGCAATGGCTATTTTGGTGTCTACTTTTAATAGCTGCAGCAGCAATAAAAACTTTGGCAATACTGTTAATTTATTAAAGGCTATAGCTAGTAAATATTTAATACAGCCCCAAACATTTTAATATTCTTTCCATTAATATTTTACCTAATAGTTTTTTCTCATATAATCAATTTAACATTTTAATCCTTAATATTTTAATTGATCTTCAATTTGGATAGATAGAACAGGAATTTAAGTTAAATATAAAATTATCTCTACAAGCAAAAGAAAAAGTTAAAAATATGTAACCCCCTCAGGATATGGAAAATTACTCTATTCTAAAACATATGCCATAAATTTTATATTAAATGAACACTGAATCACAGATGTTTCTTCTTTCAAATTTTTAATATTCACCAATTATATCTCTCCTTAATATCCTTTGACATTAAACTTAATTGACCCTGGTTCTGTCAATTAGAAGTACTTGTATTATTTATGGGTTTTATATGAATTGTCTTTATCAAGTCTTTAGAGCTTCGGGTTACTTGCTTATTCATCATCTTCTTTATCAAATCTGCAGTTTAAAATATTGGGATTTTTGAAATAATTTTTAATATAATAAAACATCTATTCTTGGGGGATGTTGATAATGGTGGAGGCTATGCATATAGCGGGCAGGGGACATATAAGACATCCTTGCACCTTTCTCAATTTTGCTGTGTTTTTACTTATATGTATGTATTTATATGTATTGTAAAGACCATCGATACTATGAAGAAACTGCATCAACTAATGGGCAAAATAACCAGCTAGCATCATGACAGGATCAAATTCACAAATAACAATATTATCCCCAAATGTAAACAGGCTAAATGCCACATGCAGACTGGCAAATTTGATAGACTCAAGACCCATTGGTGTGCTGTATTCAGGAGACCCATCTAACATGCAAAGACACACATAGGCTCAAAATAAAGGGATGGAGGAAGATTTACCAAGCAAATGGAAAGCAAAGAAAAGCAGGGGTTCCAATCTTAGTCTCTGATAAAAAAGACTTTAAGCCAACAAAGATCAAGAAAAGACAAATAAGGGCATTACATAATGGTAAAGGGATCAATGCAACAAGAAGAGCTAACTATCCTAAATATATATATGCACCCAATACAGGAGTGCCATTTATGGCCACAGAGCTGGATCTACTCTCTGAGGAAAAGAGGAGAAAAAAGTAGATGAAGAAAAGTTGAGGACTCAGAAGCAATCTCCCTGAAGTAATTTAACAACTAGAAGCTTAACAGAAGAAGAAGGGTCACAGACAAATGGGCAAAACATGCTGAGTCATGTAACATAAAAACTCAGAGAGGTGTGGGATCTTGGCAACTCACAGAAGAAAGGAAAGAGTGGTCAACTAAGGAGACCAGGAAGAAATAATCATCAACCAAGATTTAAAGAAAAAAAAAAAAAGAAAACTCCACAGAGTTTCAGCAAGCTGAACACATTGGCTTTGGCAAGTGCCCTTGATGACACTGATAATAGTTATTGTAGTGAAATGGTAATGATAACGGCCAAAAACCTGGTTGAAATAAGCTGAGAAAAATAGCAAATACACCCTTCACAGGAGTTTTCAGTGAAGGAAGCAGAGAAATAAGGTGATAGCTAACAGAGATGTTCTTCAAAATCAGTAATATTCAGTGAGCTTGAATATACTTCAAAAACAAAAAGACTCCTAGAAATGTCCTAGTGATATCACCCTAACTCTGTATCAGCTATCCAATGCTGCATAACAAATTACTCTAAAACTAACTTGTATAAAACAAGCATTTATTATGCTATTAGATTTTCAGAAATTTAGATGGGCACAGTGAGGAGAATGTGTCTACACTCTAGAGTAGGTATTGGCAAACGTGTACAGGCCCAGATAGCAAATATTCTTAGGCTTTGCAGGGCCAATGGTCACTGTCAAATTATTCAAATAGTCGATTATAGCACACTGCCATAGACCATGCATACAAGAAAAGAGCATGGCTGTGTTCCAATAAAACTTTATTTACAAAAATAGGCAGTGAACCAGATTTGGCCTGCAGGCTGCAGTTTGCAAACTCCAGCTGGAGTTGCTGGAATGTCTGAGGCCTCATCTGGAAGACGTGAACACTGGGGAGACATGACAGCTAGAGGCTGGAATTCTGCAGCTCCTCAGGTATTTCTTTCTATTTCAATGGGATCTCTCCACATGATCACTCATGCATAGCAGCTTCGAGTTAGTCACCCTTTTAAAATGGCAGCTGAGGTCTTGAAAGTGAATTACCCAAGAGGAAATGACAAAATCTTCATGGCCTTTTGCAACTTACGTTTTGAAATCATTTGGCATCACACATACCATATTCTATTTGTTGAAATCATCACAAATGTCCACCCAGGTGCAAGGGGAGGGACAGGAAGAAAAGTTTGCCTCTTTCTTGTGGGGAATTGTTAAACAATTTATGGACATGTTCTAAAGCTACCATACTCTCTAAGAAATGAGCAAAGAGTCAAGAGACCATTTGTTGCAATAAGGGATTTTTAAGTTTTATAAGAATTTGAGTGATTCCAAAAGTTTGGTTGAAAAAGAAAATAGTAGTCACACAATAATTTTTAAAAGTGTTTTGGGATGGTGCTGAAGAGAGAGAATGGCTCCTTATAAAATTCAATTATGACTGTGCTTAGTTGCATTCAGACTGTTTTACTAAAAAGAAGAAACATATTTGGTATTTTGTGTTTTTGGTTTGTCTGATGAACATAAAAATGATTATCTGATTCTTAGAAATACTGTATAAATGTCTTTGAGCATCTAGGTATGCTGAAGAATGGCCCCCAAAAATGTTCATATACCAGAACCTGTGGATGTTATGTTAGTCTGGGTTCTCCAGGAAACAAGAACAAAGAGGAGATACAATCCGCCGCCCCCCTGCCACCCCTCCACCCCCCGCCACACATACACCACATATAGAAAGAGATTTTTTTTAGAAGGAATTGGTTTACACAGTTATGGAGCCATGGAGCCCTGCACTCTATATTTGGCAAGCTAGAAAGCTAGGAATGCTGATGGTATTGTTCCAGTCCAAATGCAATGGCCTGAGAGAGGAGAGTCAATGGTGTAAGTTCCAATCTGAGTCTGAAGGGAGGAAAAGACCAATGTCCCAGCTTGAAGACAGTCAGGCAAAGAGATTGAATTCTCCCTTACTGCACCTTTTATTCTATTCAGGCTCTCGAGGGATTGGTTGAGACCCACTCACACCGGAGAGGGCAGTCTGCTTTACTTGGTCTACCGATTCATATGTTATTCTCATCTTGAAAAACCCTCACCGACATACCCAGGATAATGTTTAGCCAGATATCTTGGCAATCCATGGCCCAGTCAAGTTAACACAAAAACTAACCATTACAATTGCCTTATATGGCAAAAGAGACTTTGAAGGTGTGCCTAAGTTAAGGATCTTGAGACTGGGATGTTAGCCTGAATTAGCCAGGTGGGCCCTACAAGTAATCACAAGTTTCCTTAAAAGATGGAGGCAGAAGAAGATTTCACCACAGAAGAGGAAGGAGGGGATGTGACTAAAAAAAGCAAGAGGTTGGAGTAATGTAAGGATAGGGTCATAAGTCAAGGATTGTGGGTGGCCCCAGAAGCCAGAAAAGCCGAGGAAAGGATTCACCCCTCAGAGTCTCCAGACCCGCCTGTACCTTCATTTTAGCCTAGTGCAACTGATTTCAGACTTCTGGCCTCTGGAAATGTAAGAAAATAAATCTGTGTTTGTTATGCCAAGTTGGATGTAATTTGTTACAGCAGCCACAGGAAACTGATGCAGCCTCCTATTAGGAGGTTCATGGGACACATGAAGGTCATGCAGTTGTTTGCACATGACAGAAGTTGCATTGACTTAAGAGTTTGCCACAATTTTATGATGGTTAAAATGAAACCATCAATAGAGAGTTTGCGTGTAATAATTGCTCAATAAATATTAGTTAACTAAGATATATATTAAACAATAAAACAGTGGTGAAAACAGAAGATTTAACAAGAAGGAAAAGGCTTAAAGAAGTAGGGCTGAAATAGAAAAGTCCCAAGGGAACAGAGAATGGAATCTCTTCAGGGAGACTAAGGAATGTATCTCAAGGTCCACTGAAGGTAGGAAGGAGAAAATGTCTTCTCTCAGCACTTGAGTCAAGCCCCCATCACCAGAAGGCAGGATAAGGTTTGGCATTCATTCATTCAACCTTGAAGGCCCACCATATCCCAAGCACGTGCTACTCCTGGATACACATGAACAAGCAATGGGCTGCCTCCATCCTCCAGTGCACAGTGAAGTAGAGTTGGTCCCAGCAAGTACACATGGAGGGCCAAGTCCTCTAAGGCGTCCTCACTAATTGAAAATTATTTCCATTTCTTTTAAAATAAGTGTATGTTAGATGTCAAACTCCTAACTTCAATGCTTTAAAGATATTTTTACATGGGAAGCTAATAAAAACCTAAAAACCAAAGGAGAAAATATTCAGGCTCATACTACTTAGTATTCACTTTACTGAATTTTTGTTTACATCACATCTGCACCAACTGTCTTCTGGAAGCAGTATAGCAGAATGCTCAAGAGCATGGAGTTTAGAGCAGAAATACCTGGATTTGAATCCTAGATTTGCCATAAATTGTATTTGTGACTTTGGGCAAAAATTACTAAATCTCTGTATGCCGCAGCTCTCTCATCTACAAAACGGAGATGATAATAGTATTTGCCCCATCAAGTTTTCATGAAAATTGGATGAGTTAATAATTGTTAAGCACTAACACTGTCAGCCCATAGTAAGGGCTATATAAGTGTGTGTTGAGTAAAAGTATTAAAAACTTCTTTAAGACCCGGGAGTTCTTAAGAAAGCACATTCATACTCTGTAAATTGAGTAACTTTTTCAGGTGACAACATTTTCCTGCATGGTATTTTCCTTGCTCACTTTCCAAGGGTCCCCATGACGAATTTCCACCTACCAGTCAACAAAAGCAGCCAGAGCTCCATCAGTGAAAGCCCAGTGAACCCATATGTTGCAAATGAGTGTCAGTAATGACAACAGCAGCAAGGGTTTCACAATCTGTGCGTGAGAAGAAAGTTCACAAATGCAATCGGAAATGAGGTACTCCTCCTTCCACTTCTAAATCACTTCAAACCCTTTCAGACTAAAATAAGTACTAGGGATGTGATCCACAGCTATCACCTCGGGGTGGAGAAGTGAAAAACTTACTAGCTTTGCCAGTTTGACTGTCAGAGAGAGCTGCATTCAAATTCTGACCCCAATCCTTGCTATCTACGTAACAGACAAGTTAATTAAACTTTCTTAATCTGACAGGGAAAACGTTGCCACTTTGGCTGGTTTTAAGTATATAATTTAGCAAATCATACTTATCTTTGACTAAGTTGCAGACTGTAGGTTGGGTATTTAGAAATTAGAGCACCTACGGATCAGATACGCCCATTTATATTTTTAGTGGGGAAAGACATGCAGTGGGATCCCAAGCCTGTCTTTTGTGAGCCTTTATTGACTAAGCTTTCTGCCTTTTCCTTTCTAAAACCTTTTAGAAATTAAGAACATCCAGGCACTTCCTTTGGCAAGTCTGACACATACACAAGGGAGAGGACATAAATAATTTCCATACTCTTCAATGAAAGTGAATGTGTAACATATAAAACAATGGGCCAGGTGCGGTGGCTCACGCCTGTAATCACAGCACTTTGGGAAGCCGAAATGGGTGGATCACGAGGTTAGGAGTTTGAGAGCAGCCTGGCCAGCATAGTGAAACCCCGTCTCTACTAAAAATACAAAAATTAGCCGGGCAGGATGGTGGGCGCCTGTAATCCCAGCAACTCAGGAGGCTGAGGCAGGAGAATTGCTTGAACCTGGGAGATGGAGGTTGCAGTGTGCTGGGACTGCGCCACTGCACTCCAGCCTGGGTGACAGAGCAAGACTCCATCTCGGGGGTAGCGGGGAGAGGGGAAAGAATGGTGGCTAGTCAAACAGTCCTTTCCAGTAACAAGGTCTCAGGCACCCATCTCAGAAGATTTATTACATGCTGCCCCCACCATTGACCCCAAAGGAGACTGACTCTGCAAACAGCTCAAATCATAGTCATCCTCTTCATTTCCTGTGTGTCCCTCCCACTCCTCTCACTAACACGTAATACCATAGCCACATCAGTCAGTGGTTAGGATGCTGGGTTAATTTTACTCCCAAGGAAAGTGACGCCTGAGAGAAAGAGCCATTTGTTTGTCTTTTTAATTTCAGCTTCTTCCTAAATAAGACAGCCTTTTAGAAAGACTTTCACAGTGTCAGGTTAGTTACCTAAATCTTAGGTAACTTTAGGTTAGTTACCTAAAGTCACTCTGTGACTTCATCCTGATATAAAGGAACAAGGAAGAGAGTCGGATTAGGCTAACTCACTATGGTACATCTTATTTTTTATTTAGTTTATATATTTTGTGTTTTTAGATTAATTTTGCGGGTAGAGTGGGGCATAACTCAACATATTTTTTTCCTCACAAGCTGGATTAATTATTTTAGTAACATGAGCTGTATTAAAGGGGTCATAGAAGTCAGGTTAGGGCAAGCACTGTTATTTATGTTTTACAGATGGGGTAACACATAGAAAAGGCACGGAGAAGTTAAGTGATTTGCCTGTGGTCACAAAGCCTGTTAGCAGCAAACCCAGAACAAGAACCTAAGATTTATGACCGCCAGTTCCAGCTGTTTTTCTTCGTCATGTATCCTCAGCAATCAACATAATCAAAATCTGTTTGGAGGTAACTGGGTACAACAAAATAAATTATTGTTCCTTTTGTTGGGTGAATTCAGTTTGACCTGGATATTAAATTTGCACAAGTCTCACTGTCTCATTTAGTTATGTCTGCTCTTTTATTTTTTAAACTATGCTTATGACTTTCAGACTACTGATTTGTATAAAGGAAGATAACACCGAACAACCAAACAGGAAGTAATCCAGCGAATCTGGAACAGCGGTGGAATTTAGAAGCAAGGCCAGGTAAGCACTTCAAATATGCGAAAAGAAAATGAGAGAGCTGAAGGGACACCAAGCAATTTGATTTGCTCTTGGTTTACTCTGGAGGAAAAGGAATCCTTCTGAATTCTGAATTCCCAGAGCCAAGCCACTATATTCTTCTATTTCTTCTGTGTGTCTTCCAGGGAAAGTGTGTCCTTGTCAGCACCACAATGACACTTTCCATCCTGTGACAGAAACTAAGTCTTGAAAGACAACATTGTTACACTGTTTGGGGAGATCACGCCTAGTGGTTGTTTTGTTTTGAAGTGAGTGGGGATGGTGAGGAGGGGTTTAGTGAAGGAGTAAATGTGAATGATAATGTCATAAATTCCCCTATGATTCTGATTATGAGAACTCTCCTCAGAGAATCTCAGTTCCGTAGGGAACTTTGTCCAGGATCTCCCAATTCTTTTGAGACCTCATCCAAAAATGGTGACTTGGATAAAGAGAACTCAGGAACTGCATGCCACTCTTCATCTAACTCTGCATGCAGCTATGTTCACATTCTGCTATCGCTGGCTGATGTTCAAAAACTCAGCCCAATGATAAGGGTTTTAAAAGTGTATTATTTTCACTATTGATATAGATCTTGTGGAATAATCATTTCATAATGAGCCAGATCTTAACTAGTAGCAGACTACTCTAGTGTCTGCTACTAATCAGACACACTCTAGTTTGTGGTTGGTGAAGCCAGAGAGTGATATCATTTCCTAAGAAACAGGCAAGGAGAGAGAAAGCAATTGAAGGGTGAAGAGCAGAGAACTATGAAGATGATTCAGGAAGAGGCACATGGAGACTAGAGGTAAAACAGAAGTTCTGGGCAGTGAACGAAGACATCTAATACAAGGAAAAGGGGGCCAGGGACTGCGGAGGAAGGAGTAGTTTAGATTTGATCTTATTTGCACCCACAGACCAGTTGCTAAGGGTCCAACTTTCTCAGGGATTAGATTTAACAGAGATAGAAAGTTAGTTTTCGAAGAGAAATCTTATTTATTAGCTAAAGTATGTCCAGTTTAATTATGTAATGAAGATGAGTATTTGTCACTCATTTATTTGAGTATATATTTTATAGATAACAATGTACCAGAGTGTAATAGAAAGTACCTTACAGTATAACTGTAGTGATTTGAATGGCTTGTCTGAGAAGGATGTGGAAAAAGGTCCCATATCTCTCAATATTAGTACCCAAGTCAGCCTAAAAAGAAACAAAACATTGTAAATATCTTGGTTCCTAGTAACAGAAGAGATTTTAAACACAGAGTCACCTAACTGAGTGGAATATTTTTAATTTAGTATCAGCACCCTTTCCTAAAGATGCTATAAATTAAGAACTCTCTGATTTTTTTTAAGCCATAAGTGTTAAAGAGTAATCTATTACAAATCAAGTTCAGTCCCACTCTTGATAACATTGTGTTTTTAGACTAATTTTGCAGGTAGAGTGGGGCATAACTCACCATAGTTTTTTCCTTACAAGCTGTATTAATTATTTTAAAAATAGCAAACATCATGAAAAATAGCCCAGCCAAATACTCATTTCTTTGCTTAATGTCTCATTGCTTGGCAATTTTCTTCACTGTCATTTTCAATGGAAAAATACCTGAAATTCATCTACTGAAATTCAACTGAACGGAGTGGTTTAAAAAGAATCAATAGACATGCTAATAATAAGGAAAGCATTCAAATGCAATATAGCATATGTTTCTAATTACCACTTCACAAGTCCCAGTTACAAATTAAGTCTCTTTTATTTCAATTAACAGTCTAATGGTGCTTCAGAGAGATAAAGAATGTTTTAAAAAGAAACCAAACCTCTGATGAAGAGCACCCAATTTTCTCTCCAAGGAAACATGATGAAGGTTTTAAGCTATGAGAAAAGTCTGGGATAGGTGATTTGGGAACTGTATTGTCCATCACAGCTAAGAGATGTAGATGATGTTTTTGGTTTTTGGTTTTTGTGCTCCCCTTCCTGGGACCTTCTCAGCCATTCTACTGCCCACTTCTCTTCTGATATCCTATCATGGGAGAGAAGTCACCCAGCTGGCCATGCATCTATACAACAAATATTTACTAAGCACTTGCTTTGTACCAGCATTTAAGTACTTGGTCATGAGGATTCAGTGGTATATAAGATCTAGTCCCTTCTCTCAGAAAGGTTGTTGTTTAGTGGGATAGACAGACATATAAGCTAATAGTTCTAGTGTAATGTGTCTATAACAATAACAGAATGAAAACATCTATAGTAAAGATTGATAAGTTAATTTACTCTAATGTGTTACGTCATTTTACCCAGAAGTTTTTAAATGAACAGAAGAATATATATACATATATTCTCTTTCTTTCTCTCTGTGTCATTTCTATGGGTGAAATTTCTGGTATTTGTGATTAGGATGATGAGATATCTGATACCCATAGAGGTGACCACAAACTCTGTCCATAAAGCTGAGCTTGTTATAAATTTTAATTTCAACTCAGGGCTGGATAAATTCATAGAATGTTAAGGGTTCAAGGAATTTCACAGTGTATCTTATTGATTCATTTTACAGATGAGGACCCTAAGACCTAGAGAAACTAAGTCATTTGCTCAAGAAGACAAAGGTAATCATCAGAAATCAACATGAGATTTCAGCTCTCCTGATCCTTAGTACAACATGTGAAAGAAGATATGTTGTCTTTACTCACAGTGGAGGCATTTTTCTAGCTGTGTTTGATTTGGCTTCCCTATAGATTCAGGACCCATAACTCTTGTTCTCACTCATCTGCTATGCTGCTGATAAGGACTTTCAGGTCAACAGCTGTAACTGCTAAATGAAGTTAATACTCTGGAAAAAAAAAAAAAAAAAAAACCAGAAGGAACAGAGACCAAAAGATTGAAAGCCATTTGGAAATTTCTTGAGTGGTGTCTGGCAGGTCTTTTATGAAGATTATCATAAACCAGGAAAAAAAAAAAAAACGCCTGCTGACTGTGTTATCTGTAGTGCCTATTGCCTATTTTGGCTGATTCATTGATGGTGTAACAGATAACAGAATGAAAGGAAATGGTTTGGTTTCTATAAAGGAAAAAGAATGGTTTGTATAAGGAAACCATTAGTTTCCTGAGATTGCTATACCAAATTATCAAAACTTGGTGTCTTAAAACAATAGAAATTTTTTCTCCCACAGTTCTGGAGGCCAGAAACTCAAAATCAGTATTTGGCGGCTGAAATCAAGGTGTTGGCAGCACCCTCTGGAGGCTCTCGGACAGAATCTGTCCCTTGTGTCTAACAGATTCTGCTGGCTGCTGGCATTCCTTGACTTGTGGTCGTATCATTCCCATCTCCTCCTCCATAGTCATAACGCTTTCTCCTCTTCTCTGGCATTTGCATCCCTTTTATAAGACACGTATGACTGCATTTAGGGCTCACCAGGATAATGCAGGATAATCTTCCTATTTCAGGATCCTTTGCCACATCTTCAAAGTCCTTTTTGGCCAATAAAGTAATATTCACAGGCTCCAGGTTTTAGGATGTGGGTAGTGGTGTTGGGGTGGGGGGCAGATTTGGGGGTGAACAACCAGCCTACTACTGGTGGGTGACTGGTTATCCATCATTCTTAAGTCAGAAATGATGACCCAAAATCTCTTTTTGCTTTTGCTTCACTCATTTTGCATTTAATTACTAGGCTCTGCTTCTTCAGACACTTTTATTACAGTTTAGTTTTTGCTACATCCCTCAAAAATGTCTTATTATTTTCACGGCCTGTCATTTAGTTATGTTTTCTTCTAAGTGTTTGGCTGTCTTGGTCAGTGCTCTAAAGGAATTAAAATCACTTGGTCAGGGCTCTGAAGTAATTGGTCAGTGCTCTGAAGTAATTAAAATCACTGTGAAGCTGAATGAAAAATCAGAAGAAGAATCAAGAGACCTATGTTTTGCTTGTTAGGAGAACTGTGTATCCTTTATGTCTATTTTTGGAGTTGGTGGTAATTTCTGGTCAAGGAATCAAATGTTCTTATTCCTAACCATATAGTCAGATAAGATGGCTAAGGTGCTTTCATAATCACCATTGATTCACTGTCAGATGGGCCCGTGCTCTGTGACAACTTTTCAATATTATAGACTTTACCAAATAAAAAGGTATCTCCTCATTCTGTGCACAGAAAAAGAAAATGATGGATGAGTATATTAGCCAGAACCCTGTCGCAGAAAAATAAGCATGAGTGTGCCCTTTCATGCCTCCTGAGAACTCCTGTGCTAGACAGAGCCTGTTCAAGATGTCTTTTCTGACTTTCTGATTCCAGTTGACATCTAGGCATATAAGGCAACTTTGTGATGGGGCCAGAGAGCACCACACATTGTTGTGTATGAAATACTCTATTCAGCAAACAAGCCGTGCAGCAACAAGACCTAGTGTGGTCAAGGATGGTGGACTAAAAACCACTATGAAAGCAGAGATGTAGCCACCTCTGAGACTGGTTTTCTAAGCAGGATGACTTGGTTCCATCCCTACAGGCATCGTCTGGTCCAGTTCAGCACAGAGCTAGCTGCAAGTGACAACCTAAGAGAAAAGTCAGCGAGAACAAAGATCCATCTCTTCGTTGACTGCCTTAATCCCTAGAGCTGTGTTCTTCAATTTGTTACTATTTGCTACAATTTTTCTGCCTAACAAGCAAGTTCTATCCTGCCTAGGAGAGAAACTTTTAGTAAATTCATCTTCATTCACTACTATTCAGCTCATGCTGTAAAAACTTAGATAATGCTGTCTGAAATACTTAACTCCTGGTCAAATGCAGCTGCTATTTCATTCAGTATAATCAAAGAATAGCCAAGGACTTTAGTTAATATTTCTTCAGATGATAGAGAATAAACAAATTGTTTTGGATATATCTACCATGCCCTCCAAACATGATTGTTGATATCTTTTCTATATAAATTACTTTCCTACATAAATGGTACTTAGCTTTTCCTTGAAAGATATGCTCTTCTCTCCAGCTCAAAGATAACCCTCTTTCCCTCAAATTATAAGTAATTTATATTTAATAATCTTTCATACGAATTTTTAAAATTACAAATGGTAAGGTACCACTATTTTTTATTTTGTAACAGCACAAACCATCAAATCAGAAAAAAAGAAAGGTTGAGTATGATCTCTGAAAAATGAATTCTAGTAGCATGTATAGCAAAAATCATCTTAGAATGAATAGAAGCCCTGAATAACTCAATGACCACCAGGCTTGTCTGCATCCACGTTCTACTTGGTTAACTGTTAAATAATATCTAACTTGTTGCATTGTAAAAACAACATGTGTCTGTAAACTGAAAAATAGATGTTATTATCCACCTGGTTTAGTCATAATGGAGAAATGTCCTTCAGTTGCATGATGCTCTTCCTATGAATGAGGAAACCAGATCAACATTTCCATTCAAGTTCTAGCTTGCCTATAACATTTCTTAGCTCCTTTTGCAAACCAAAAGTGGCAGCAGTTGTAACTGAATTAGTCTAACTGCTCAGACACATGCATTTCTGTTTGGTTGCTCTGGTCTCTTCTTGAAGGCCAAGTGCTGTGATCATTTATCATCATCAGAATTGGCTGCCATAACTCAGTGTTCCCGGGACCTGCAGTGGGCAGAGCACCAGCACAACCCGTAGAAAGCAGCTCCAAGATCAGCACCCTCTCATAAACCTACCGAGCCAGGAGCATCTTCCAGGCCCTCCACTCTCAGGAGTTTCAAGGAGAAAACAAAATGCTGAGGACTGGGAATGAGAAGCTTCAACCTTGCACAATCTCTACATTTTGCTTTACTCCCAAGAGGGACGAATGAAGAATGTTGTTATTGATGCTATGACCACTTCTCTCCCATATTGTGCCCAGTAAACATGGTCTTACTCATTATTGAAATACTAGCATTCTTCTATAATGGTTCGTACACAGCTGCTGCCCAGAGCACTGAATAACACATACTACCAGGTGTCAAACCCAGATTTCCCCAGTCTCTCCTTAATTTCCAGCAATAAAAAGATTAGCCTGGCACAGCAGGTCTTCAGACCCTTTCTGATTTTGAATAGTGATTTGAACACCTCTCCTAGCTGTGTCCCCTTTGGGTTTAAGAATAAGATAGAAGATATATTGCTTTCCATTTTAAAATGTTTAACTTCTATTCAAGAATAAATATTGATGAAGGGCATCTAGGTACTAGTGATTTTTCCTGATGTCCATTTTGTGAACTTCACAGAAGACTTTGATTTCACCTTAAACCAAAGAAAACGTTCACAGATATCTTATAAATCTACTATTTTTCATGATTATAATAACCTGTCATCATGACAAGCCATGTTCATTAACAAAAGAAATCATAGGGGCAGCTTCTATTGGGCACTTAACTCCTTCATCCATGAAATTATACTTTATGTGAATTTATTTTTGGAAAGTTCAGGTAGTTTAAATTTTAAATATATAGACTAGAAAGAAATTGGGACCTTAAAAACTATTTTACAGGAAAAATGTTTCTGCCTGTCCTCATATTTCCTTCTTTTTTTTTTTTAACAGTGTTAGATTTCTGCAGAACTAATACCCTTTAAATACTCTTGTCACACTTCAGAGGACACTATGCAAATTCTCAGAGGCCACACAATTTCCAGGTATATTGTGAGGCCTCTGATAAGATTTGTATACTGTTGACACCTACTTAATATATGGATAAATAAATCTCCAGTAAAATACAAAATAAATAGGATTTCTATCCACAAACAACAAGGTTGCAACCACAAAAGTGAAATCTGCACAGACAGAAAAAGAGCTCTGTCATGTTGAGTATTTCTTGACCTCGCAGTGAGTCATAGATTTTCTTTTTGTTCTAAGACTGGAAAAACACCAGGATAAGAAACATTTTGGAAAACTATAGAAAACAACTGGATCCAAGCTCAAGTCCTCAGAGATAACATCCTGTACTTAAAATCTTTAAGTTGTTATAGAGGGGAGTATGTGTATGTGTGTGTGTATGTGTGTGTGTGTGTGTGTGTGTGTGTGAGAGAGAGAGAGAGAGAGAGAGAGAGAGAGAGAGAGAAAGGAGGAGGAGGAGGAGATGGGAGTGGAAGGTAAACAGCAGCAGAAAGAAAACATGTGCACTCATGTTTTCTTCAGATGCTTCTTCAGATGAGTCCATCAGGAGGAGGAGGAGGAGATGGAGATGATGATGGGAGGGGAAGGTGAACAGCGGCAGAAAGAAAACATGTGCACACAATGATGCTTCTTCAGATGAGTCCATCTTCCTAAGTGTTGGTGGGAACACTGATCATAGATTTAAAAAAAAGTTTGTGTTTCTACTTGCATTTTCATCAGGAAGTTACAAAACATCTTGGAATATTTGCATTTCTTTCTATTTGACTGCTCAGGATGTGTCTTCGTGACATAAGTCATTTTCAGCCATGTTTACCGGATGTTCCTCTTCTCTCAGAGAACACCATTCTTTTGCTTTAGAGTTAACACGGTGTTTTCCCACCCCCTACTGCATATGCTCCCACCCCCTATTGCATACTGCTCATAGTAACCAGCAGATCTGTTTGGGGTGATGATGAAATCGCCAGGAGGCACAGGTGGCTTTTGGGCTCTGATCCTAATGGGACTGTGGAGCTCATCCTGGAGCTCAAGGCTAGAGCAAGACACCGCGGAAAAACTAACTTTCTGGGGTTTTGATAACCACAGCATCCTGGGTTGACTGGCCTATTACTATAGTAGGAGCCTGATGATTCAGACATATAACATCACTGTCCAAAGCCTCTCGAAGTGGGATAAGGCATCAAGTTTTTGCTTGAGAGCTAGAGCATGGCTATCATAGTAGAATTAAGGAATAGATACATTTATTACCTCAAAGTGCCATTCCAGAGGGACCCAGAAATGGTTATTGTAAAATTGAGTTATACCATAGACTGTTCCCAAATACTGTATGCGTCCAAGGCTTAGTTACCTCCATTATAAGCAGTGTGACTGCTCTCCTCACAGAGGACTATAAAAATTAAAGAATCATCAAGAATTTGCAAACACAAGCTCATGACAAACATCTAGCAGTTATGTTAGACATAAATGATCTTTTTCTGGTAGACAAATGGAAAAGAAGTATATTTTATTGGATTCTTATGACTACGAAGAGCCCAACCAGGTTGTGATTGTCTGGCTTCCATTTACCAAATCACAAATTCTCACAACTGGCAGTAGGTGCCTTAGAGAGCATCTGGTTCAAATATCTTACATGGTGGATGAGAAAATGGAGGTTCCAATATATTAACTTACTTGCCTGGGGTAATACAGCTTGTTTATGGCAGTGTCAGGACTAGATGCCCAGGTTTTATGATGCCATAACTAGTTTCTTTCCCAGAAGTCCAGATGAACCTAAAACCTAAAATTGGTATCTAGGAGAAGGATGGTAAAGATGTCACTCTGAGTCCTGATTGATTGGTAGGAAACCCTAGCTGACTGGCAGAAAATCCTGATGTATGTGTTAAGAAGGATTTTGGAGTCATACTCAGGCTTATCAGAAAAGGGTACTCAGGGTCAAATACAATTTCTATAAGGGGAAAAAGAAAAAAGGAAGAGAGGCCAGGTTTCACAGTTTCCTGATCTTAGAGCATCCAATTATTTTACAGGCATGTTCAGATGTGTTTGAACAATAAATGATTAGTAGTAGGAACTGATTTTGTAAGATTCATGAGACAGGACCAAAAAATAAATAAATTTACATATGGTGATCAAATATTGCTAAGTCAATAAGCTCCTTCTATTTGCATAGGCTGGGAACCAAGATTAGAAGACAGACACTTATTTCTCAGTAACCCATACTGTAGCAATGGGACAATCATTTAGCCATCCCTATGTGATCGTGGTCATTTTATAGGAGCATACTGCTTTAACTTTTTGAAGTGCTTTTGAAATGGGAAAGGTTCCCTTGTCCCCCTCACAGGGCGTGTGACAGGGGGAGTGGCTCGCTTCTTCAGTGCCCCACTGTTCAAACCTCTAGGAGAGCCATATAGATGCCAGCTTGTGGGGTTCCAACCCCAGGGCAGTGTCTAGGGGTGGATGTTTACAGCTCCTGAAGTCCCACTGAGCATGTGCTACTGTGTGCTCTTTTAGTTTTGCCATCTATAGGTGGCTTTTTGTTAACCAGCTCAATTAGACCCTCTACCTTTTCACAAAGACAGAGGGCTTTCTGTATCCCGGGCTCTTGCCTTGGTGTACCGGAAGAATCAAATCACACCTCAGCTTGGAGAATGAGTACAAGGTTTTATTGAGTGGAAGTATTTCTGAGCAGATGGGGGAAGCCAGAGGGGGATGGAGCGGGAAGGTTTTCCTCTGGAGTCAGGACACTGAGCGGCCTGGGTTCTCCTCCAACCATCCCAGCCAAACTCTGCCTCTTCTGCCAGGTCGATGGCCTGCAGACCTGCTGGTGCCTGTCAGTGCATTCCTCTCGGCATCCAGCCACCCGTGTGTTCCTCCCCTGTTGTGCTCTTCTCAAAGTTTGTCTGCCTGCTAGGGTCTCAGGATTTTTATAGGCACGGGATAGGGGCATGGCAGGCCACGGTGGTCTTGGGAGATGCAACATTTGGGCAGGAAAATAAAAATGCCGCACCTAGGTCCGTGGGCACAGGCCTGGGTTAGAGTCCTAGCCAGGGACCACACCGTTCTCTCCTTCTGTATCACTTTCAATGCTTTTTCTTATATGATATCTAGAGAGCAAAGAAATGCACTACCAACTGCTAAATTTCATGGCACCTACTGTAGGTTAAAAAAAAAAACAAACAGAAAACAAAACAAAAAACCAGCCCTTGAAGGAGAGAAATGGAGGAAGGGAATTTTGTTTAATTAGAAACTCTCCAGAAGTAAAGGCAATGAACACATAGTACTTCAAAAGATCTGTTAATGAATGTTTAATTCAGATATTCAGATGGAAACTTCTCTATCAATAAGAAGTGACTAAATGGAATAGATAAGTTTTCGTTCACATTTCATTTTTCAAGAAAACCTGCTTTGAGATTCTCTTCATACTTCATGGTTAGTTGCTCGGCAGTCCAAGCTATGGAGTGGTACAATGGCTTTAGAGTTGACAGCGGGCCTAAATGAGAAACCAAAGTTCAAATCAAGACGTCTAAGTATTATCTGAATCATTACAAAAGTCTGCAATTAATTCTCTGCACTGCTGATGTCTGTCTTTCATCTAGTGAACAGAGAAAAAGGAAATTCAATAGGATGTACTCTTTATGTCAATTGGATGAGAAAATTTCCCACTGCCTGAAAAGCATGCTGATACTAAAATATACCACAGAATACATTTCATTAAGAGTTATTATCACTGTGATCACAATGACCAAGAACTCCACAAAGAATTAACGTCATTTGGCCGATACCTCCTCAAATGGGTCCACTGGATTCATGTTTTTCAAGGTATTGTTCCCAAGCATCTCTAGCAGAATGACCTGAAGTGCTTTTCCTGCTGAAAATGACAAAATTAAATTCACTGAATCTGAACATCTGAAGGTGGTTTCCGGGAATTTAATATACTCCTAGGTGATTCATATGTTCACTGAAGTCTGAGAACAGTTATACTAATTTCTCTATGAATCAAACTGATATAGTTTGAGATACCAAAGATACAAGCAAGGATTCTTGTCTTTAATAATATGGTAAATCAGAAAAAAAAAGGCCCAGTTTTCTGTGTGTTTCAAGCATATGGATGTGAGGATGGGCATCAGCTAACAGAACTAGAGATGTCATTTTTTCTTTCCCAAGACCATCTCTTCAGGTGAGAAGAAGCTTGTCTTTATCCTGCAGCAAGTCATGATTAGCAAATCAAGGTCTCTTACAACACCAGAAATCACAACTTTCTCTCTTTTCTTTGAACTCCTGGCTTCTAAACTATTGATTGATTGATTGATTGATTGATTGAGAGAATCTTATTCTGTAGTGATAATAGCTCACTGCAGCCTCAAACTCCTGGACTCAAGCAATCCTCCTGCCTTAGCCTCTTGAATAGCTGGGACTACAGGTGCACATCATCATGCTTGGGTAATTTTTTAAAAAATTTTATGGGCCAGGTGGCATAGCTCATACCTGTAATTCCAGCACTTTGGGAGGCCAAGGTGGGCGGATCACTTGAGCCTAGATGAGTTTGAGACCAACACAGCAAAACCCTGTCTCTGCAAAAATTGAAGTAAAATTTTCAAAATTGCTTGAGCTTGGGAGGTTGAGGCTGCAGTAAGCCATGATCGTACTACTGTACTCCAGCCTGGGTGATAGAGCGAGACCCCCTCTCAAAAAAATAAAAATTTTTTTTACGGAGTCTTACTCTGTTACCCAGGCTGGTAAACTTTCCTGACACAATAGATATAGATAGATTAGATGATAGATAGATAGATAGATAGATAGATAGATAGATAGATAGATAGATACCACAGGAACACCAGCAATAATAAAACTTAGCAACCTAAAAGCTTCTCATTAGCTTTGTTTTATGGGGTTCATTTGAATTGCCCACAATGTTAAAAGGGAAGCAGTCACATCCTGAATACCCTGAATTGTAGAGTGGCTGCTTTCCTCAATTCTTTCTTCATTCTTCATTTTCATTGCTTTACTTTCACTTTTTATGAACTCCTATGCTCCTGAATACAATGGATCTCTCTAAAATCTCTTGGTCTCTTAGAAAATATCTCCTTCCCCTCTCATTAAAAAAAAAAATGAAAAGTCTTGATTTTGTCTTGCTGACAAAAAATAAGCAATCTCTGTTCTTGATTCCACCAGCTATGGGTACAGGGTTGGCTACTGTCAGACCCACTAAATGATAACATCAAGCAAGCCCAGGAGAAAGCAATTGTAAGTTAGAAGTGGTACCTACTGAATTAGGCATGAGCTGGGCCAGAGGACACGGCATGCTTGTATCTCACCAGGAGGTAGCCCAGATCCCCAAAGTTCACCAGTATTGCACCCACACTTTTTTCTCCTCAGCTTACATAGAGCTTTAGCCACATAAAGGATTCTTTTCTTTGCCTTTTCTTTTCTTTTCTTTATTTTTTTTTTTTTGAGACTGAGTCTCGGTGTGTCACCCAGGCTGGAGTGCAGTGGCACAATCTCTGCTCACTGTAACCTTCGCCTCCTGGGTTCAATTGAGTCTCCTGCCTCAGTCTCCCATGTAGCTGGGATTACAAGTGTGCACCACCACACCCGGCTAATTTTTGTATTTTTACTACAGATGGAGTTTCACTGTGTTGGCCAGGCTGATCTCGAACTCCTGACCTCAGGTGATCCTGAGTGCTGAGATTACAGGCGTAAGCCACCACACCCAGTCCACATAAAGGATTCTTTATGACCACAAAAAATAGGAGGATAAAGCTTCAGTTTGGTTCATAGATGGGTCAGCTCAATATCTCTGTGAAAGATGACAATAAACTGCTGTTACACTACAGCTTCACTCTTATGACACTTAAAATCATGGTGAAAGGAAATCCTACCTAGGGACAAAACTTTGAGTGGTACACCTGGTCATCCACTTTATGTAGAAAGAAAAATGACCCATGATAAGAATATGTGTGGACTGAAGAGCAGTGGCAAATGGCTTGCCTGATGGGTCAGGGCCCAGGAGAGAGATTAGAGGACTGTAGAGACAAGGCAGTCTGGAGAAGAGGCCAGTAGACAGACTTATGGGATTGGGCACCAAGTGTGAAGGTCTGTGTATTGAATGATAATGTCCGCTGCAGGGCATCCTACATGGAGGAAACACTAAAAACAAAGTAGACAGAGTACTCGGGCTGACAAAGCCGGGCTGACAAAGCCGGGCTGACAAAGCAAGGCTGCCACTGGCTACCCCAGGGCTGACACAAAGAGCACATGAACAGAGTAGTTATGGTGGCAGATACAGAGGCCATGCATATGTCCAACAGCATGAATGCATATTCACCAAGGCGTGTGTAGCTACTGCTGAATGCCCAACCTGCCAATAACAGAGACCAACACTGAATTCCCAATATAGTACCATGCTTTGAAGAGCTATTAGCTATTGATAGCAAATTGATTACACTGGACCCCTTTCATCTAGGAAAGAGAATTGGTTCATCTTACCTGAAATCGATTAATAATATCGATATAAGATTGTCTTTTCTGCTTGTATGGCCTCAGGCACTACTACCACCATATAAGATTCTGAATAACATGGCTTTGAACCAAGAAGCCCACTTTGTAGCAAGGAGGTGTACTTGTTAGGGTTCTCCAAAGAAACAGAATCAATAGGATGTGTGTGTGCACGTGTGTGTGTGTGTGTGTGTGATTTATTATAAGGAATTGGTTCATGCAATTATGATGACTGGCAAGTCCAAAATCTGCAGAGCCAGTGTCTAGCTTGAGTCCAAAGGCCAAAAGCTTCTGTAGAACCAGGAAGAGCCGATGTTCCAGTTTGAAGACTATCAGGCAGGGGAATTATCTCTTACTCAGGGGAGGGACATCCTTTTGTTCTCTTCATGCTTTCAACTGATTGGATAAGGCCCATCTACATCAGGGAGGGCAATATGTTTTACTCAGTCTACCAATTTAAATGTTAACCTCATCGAAAACACCTTCACAGAAACACCCAGAATAAAGTTTGACCAAACATCTAGGCACCCTGTGGCCCATTTAAGTTGACATATAAAATTAACAATCACAGAGGGTGTAGCAGTCATAGCAGTGGGCATGTGGTTATGCAAGTCACGTGCACACAGAAACTGCCAGTTGGATAGAGTAACAGATGGCCTTTTTAACAGCATAGACAAGGCACCAGCTTGAAACTGATACTCTGAGGTACACCTTAAATCAATGAAGTTTATATGGTGCTATGTTTCCAAGAGGTAAACTATGTGGGTGCAGAGACAAGTGGTAGAAGAGAGTGGCTCTGCTTCTATGTACCCACTTGAAGAAGTTATGCTTCCCATATCTGCAATTCTAGGCATTTTTGGTTTAAAGGTCCTGATTGCTATAGGAGTAATGTGTCCACCAGGGACAGTGGAATTTCTGATTCCTATTAACTTTGAGTTGTGGCTGCCATCTGGTCATTTCAGACTTTTATTTTTTTTCTTTTAAGGTAGAGTCTCGCTCTGTCACCAGGCTGGAGTGCAGTGGCAAGATCTTGGCTCACTGCAACCTCTGCCTCTCGGGTTCAAGCAATTCTCCTGCCTCAGCCTCCTGATTATTTGGGACTACAGGCACGTGCAACCACACCTGGCTAATTTTTGTATTTTTGGTAGACACAGGGTTTCACCGTGTTGGCTAGGATGGTCTTGGTCTCTTGACCTCGTAATCCACCTGCCTCAGCCTCCCAAAGTGCTGGGATTACAGGCGTGAGCCACCGTGTCAGGCCCTATTTCAGACTTCTTATACCAAAAGATTGGCAAGCTACAGAAGGAATTACTATCCTGGCAGAAGTAATTGACCCCGGTGATCAGGCAGAGGCAGGTCTTCCACTGGGACAGGAAGCCTTACATGGAGGCAGGGAAGAATACATTTGACCACCTGGCAATCCATTGGGACATCTCTTGGTACTACCCTGTCCAAATTGGCAGTAAATTGATAAGTGCAACAGCCATCATCTGAAAAGGCACAGTGGCCAGGGGATCAGACGCTTTATGGATAAGTGTCTGAGTTGCCTCAATATTTAAGCCATCTAAACCAGAAAAGGTGGTAACTAAGGGTGAGTTGGTGGAGGCGAGAAGTGACGAATGTCACCTGAGCTCCTTAGGCTAAGTACAGAAACAGGGCTAGAGCTTATCTTAGTGATACTCTTATTTTAAATTTTCCCAGGGAAAGGGACTAACTAGAATCCTGAAGGAGCTGTCTTTGATGGGGTAAATGTTTTTTATATGAGTAAGTGGATTTGAGCAGCCCAAGGGGTGGACTATAGTGGATGCTGTGGTTTGAAGGCCATATTCTCCCTTTAAGAATGGGACACCTATTTGCCTATGTCAGGACTGTAGCCTACTTTCAGCTCATAGCTGAATTGCTTTCCAGAAATTTCCCTTGCCCAAGAGTTCTGTCTCATTCAAATATATGTTCCCCTCTCCCCAAGAACAGTCCTCCTCCAATGACTGCTCACCTGAGGGGAAAGGAAGTACAAAGGCCTGGGGCCCTTACCTTAATTCAGGACAAATCTGAAAGGCAATCACAGCTTCATAGCTGAGACCATAGTTGTGACTATATCACAGTTTAGTTTCTTCCTCTGCTTAATTTTGCTTCCTTCCAGTAAACTTTCTGTTCACAAATAACTGTCCCAGAATCTGTTTCCAAGGAACTTAACCTAAGACGATAGGACATATTAGTGACCATCCAAAGAGGCCTTAATTTACTTTCACATGAAGTCATTTAAAAGCACACACACACACAAAAATCCGCTTCCATTATGGCACAACTTATTATGGTACATCTTTTCAGATATATGTGGGGCCTCCCTGGCAGCATGAGCTGATGAAATAAATGAAACAGCTCTGTCAGTACCTGTAATTCACAGAGTTCTTGGTGCAAATGTCATTTAAAATAACCAGCCTCTAAGTGGATTCCACCTGATTCAGATATTTAAGTTTTCTCTCTAGGCCATTCTGAACTAAGAATTATCTTAGGTTCATCCAAAAGATGGATTTGGGAACTGTTGCTGGGTTCATTTTATGGGTCCAAAGTAGAGCAAGTTCTGTTGTCAGAGCATTTAGAAATATGGATATGTTTGCTTCTTTTCTACCTCATTACCAAAATATATAGGATTATTTGTAGCTTCAAAAAGTGAGATAGATAAATCCCGCTGTGTTCAAAGTTTAACAGGTATCTCAAACTGTTTTTCAAATTGACTTGAAATATAAAGTCACAAAGCCTCAAGGCAAATGTAAGCTGAATCTTGCTGACTCTTTTTAAAATGTCCAAATACTGCTATTTTTTAAAATGTCTGGAACAACTGGTGATATTTCAAGAGGAAAAAAATTGGAAATTTTTTTTCTTTAGGCAGAAGTGAATTATTTCAAGCTCCAAGTGGTTCCAAATTCCATGGAGCTCCAGAGACTGGGTTTCCTGAGATTTCTAGCGGGCACAGTACTTGGCATAATAAACTTTTCTCCTGCTCCATTCCCTCCACCTCAAATAGCCACGTGCCCTCTAACCAGCCCTGGAGACAGACCTCAGTGTTGAATGATGGATAATAGTCATTTTCACCAATTCGCTTTAAGAACTATGTTTAGTTTCCAAATACTAAAGGAACAGGAACCGCTGCCTTAGGAGAACAGTGAAAATCAAAACAGTTTAAATTTCGAAGTTCAAATTCATAATTCTGTGCTGCAGTCTAGTTTCCTCCCCATAGGAAATGTGGTATTACATACAGTACAAAGGGCTGCACTCACGTGGAAGGGTTAATCCAAGGCTGTCAGAGCTGAGAATGACCTTGGAGACTACCCATTTCTATGCCTTTCACTTACAGATGAGACGAAAGGCTCCAGGGAAGTGATAGCAGAATGGAGAGGAAAAGAGACACAAAGTTAGACACATAAAGTTCTTAACTTTGTTCTTAGTTACTTTGTGACCAGCTTAGATATTAAGAGCATTCACTTATCCAGAGATTTCTTTTATTTCTTTCACTTGAGGTCTGCCTCTCAGCCACAATTCCACTCCACTCTGCCTGCCCTCAACCTTGTCACCCCTTTCAGCAAGCTGACCTCATTATTAAGGCTTCATATGTTAAAGAATATCTCTCAGAGAAGCTACCACATGTGTTACAGTCTTTTATGTCAGCCTCTTTTAGGTAAAATGGATGAGAGTAAGGCCTGGCTGATGCTGATGGGGCATCATGCAGAAGCAGAAAGCTGTGTCTCCTCTTTGTTAATCTTGTATGCAGGGCCCAACAACCAATGCCCTCCTTCTCTTGAACAGGACAGAAAGGTCCTGTCTTTGTTTTCTTACCTAAACCAGCCCTAGAGACAGACCTCAGTGTCTCAAGCACTGTGATGCCTTGGTTTACTTACTCTAACATGTCATGCACTATTTCACGTCCTTCCAAAGGCTTCCTAAGATTTCAATCTCTATGTCAATCCCCATCCCCTCTCTTTCTCTACTTTTTCAACTATACTCTTTTTTTCCATGAGAAAGGTCATGTTTCTTTTCTTAATTCAGTAAAGTTTTATACAAAAGTCTCTTGTAATCCTACATCTATCTATATATAATATATATGTTATTTTATGTAATGCCTGATCTATGACAATGTATAGTCAATAAATGATAGCAATTATTTTTAATTATCAAAATAAATTGTTAGAGATTCAAGTTAGCATACAAAATGGAAATACATTGACAATCTAAAAACTATACTAAAACATAAACTCAAGACTTTATTCCTCTTCCTGTTCTATCAAAATTGTGCCAAGTAAAAAAATAAAAATTGTTCTTTTTATTTCCACATTTTCTGCTGAAATACCTCTTGTGGGTAAACAGTTTGGAAGAGAAGAGCTGAAGTCTAGAAAACTGACACATTAGATAATTAGACAGTGAATAATTGAGAGGCAACTGAAATGAGTATGAATTTTTAAAATGGCATCACAGGCTAAGATCACATCTCTCAATCAGATAATATTGTTAATTAAGACATCTTATTTCCAATAAAGTTTGAAAAAACTGCAGGCAGATGTTCTCATTCATTTTATAGATAATAAACCTGAGGCTCAACGAGACTGTATGATTTGTCCAAAGTAAAAAAACAAAACAAAACAAAAGCATGTTGATAACAGGGCAAGATAGTAACAGGGTAGGAATTCACATTTTTTTTCAGCACATTTTTTTGAGCTAAATTACATCTGTGACGAAGTGTGCAGATTTTAAGTGTACAGCTCAATAGGCTTTCACAAACTGTACTTTCAGGTATATACCACCTGGATCAAGATGTAGAATATTAAGAGCAGACAGAAGTTCCCTAATAAGGCATATATAAAAGAAGCCAGATCTTTTGACTCTGGGCTCAATCCATAAAGGTCCTTAGCATGATTGGACTTTTTTTCCTGATATACACAGCAATGGAATGACAAGATCAGAGTGACAAGATCAGAGCAATGGAATGAAAAGATCAGAGAAAAAACGGACTGAAAATCTTTATATGCTATTGGTGTGAAGCAGTATTGTACTATAAGTGCTATGGAAGACCACTCAACAGAGGTCCTGGAAACCTATTTAAAATTCTGATCTGTTGTTTATTAGATGTGTCATCTTCCACAAGGCTTAGTGCCTTTGCAATTTTTACTCCCTCTTTCCAAATTGCTCCTCTCCCTTTTTTTTGTCCTGAGTAACTAACTACTACCCATCTTTCAGGACTGAGCTTAATCCTCACGTCGGTGAAAGCCTTTCTAACATCCCCAATTCAGATTCCGTTTTGCCGTTACTAGTCTCACAGAAACTGGCACTTCTCCTTAAAAAAAAAAACTTATCTAAATTTTCCATTTATAAGTGATTATTTTGTAAGCATTGTTTGTTGATAATAATATCTGCATCCTCAGCTGGTAAGTTCTGCAAGGGTAGAGTCATGTCTGTTTTGCTTGCTACACCTGTTTGGGGTTACTGAGACTACCCTCAAGTTTGATAATTTGCTAAGAGGACTCCTAGGACTCAGCAGATATTTGTGCTTACAGTTGTGATTGTTGGAGTGAAAGGATACCGTGCACAATCAGCAAAGGGAAGTGGCACATGGGTGACACTCAGGGAAATTGAGCGTCAACTTCCAAGCATCCTTTCCCAGTGGAGTCACACAGAATGCACTTAATCTCTCCAGCAATGAGTTGTGACGTGTAAAACGTTGCCAACCAGAGAAACTCAGAGACCCATTGTCCAGTGTTTATACTGGGGCTAATCACATAGAGACCCTCTGCCAAGCACATACCTAAATCCCAGACTCCCAGAAGGAAAGCAGGTGTTGAGGACACACCACATTGTCTATATAAATAGTTTCAGCACCATGAGTCACTCTTACCAGTTCTGGGAATGGAAGGAACCCTCCTAAAATTTCTGTTCGCAGATGCGAGAACACCAATTCCATGAATGGTTCTCAAAATAAGGATTTAGTTTGGGAAACTATCAGGAGATATTGGTTAACAGGCTTAAATAATTTGCTGGTCTTTCTTTAATTGCAGGAGTTTCAGACATTTCAGTTTATATAAATCTGCAAGGTGGTAAGGGAAGGTAGAATATGCAGTGTTTCCTAGAATATGTTTTTACCCTCTCATTTTAAGAGATTAGTGTTCTGGGAGAACATGTCGACAAATGTTGCTCTAATTCCAGCCCCTTTTTTCAGACCAGTCACCTTCCCACCTCAGCATGTTGTGCTGTCAAGGTTTAGGATAGAACAGTTCAATGAACACCTTTCAGGTTGCATGGAACATGTTAGAGCTACAACTGCTTAGTCTGTTAAGTCTTTTACTTCCTTCTAAGCCACTTGCAGTCATGATCATAACCCCATAACACACAGCAGTGACCTGAATCACAGATAATGGGAGAGTAGAGGGGTTAAGCATATATTTTCACTGATAGCAAGAGACTATTTATTTAATATCCCACCTTATATGACCCAATTTCTGTTTCTTGGCAGAATTTTGCAAAGGCAATTCAGTTTTGCAAAGGTAACTTAATTGAAACTCATTAGCATGTTACTGACCATACAGCACAAATAGTGTAGAACAGAAGTAATTAACCACTGTTCCGGTTGAAAACCTACATTCAGCTCCTTTTCTATTTTCTTCATGGCTTCTGGGGTTGAGACTACTAAGGTGAAAGCTGTGTCAAAGAGGTCATAAATAAAACCACTGCTTTGGATAATTAATATATAGTACTATGATTTTTTTCAAGTCAAAACTATTAATTTTTGACAAAATACTACGTATATTCATACAGAAACTCATTTGGAATAATGGTTTTTATATAAACACTAGAGGAACACCTTATTTTTCTTCCTGGGTTTAATTGAACAATTTTAATACAAAGCAAATTAAGTAAAATAGGATCGAAGCTTCTCTGCAAAGTAATAGTTTACTAAGTTTAGCTAGATGTATGCTTAATGAAAAACCATAATTTTTTCCATGGTTGGAGGAACTGAGACAATGGTTGTTTGTCAAATAATTCAGACCATATATTTAGACTCCTCAGCCACCTATGAAGGTATTGGTAAATTAGCTGGCATCAAGTCTCAACTATGGGCAATTTATGGAAACAATTACAGCCCCAAAGAGTGACAAATTTTCTTCTAATTCTAAAGACAGGGACCAAGGCTTTATATTTTCATAATGAGAATTTTAAAAACTATCTCAAAAATGATGCTTGGCTTCTGCAGTTGGATAGAGAATGTCCTATGATCATTAGGTCTGATCTGTTCTAGAGACAGAGCTGTTAGCAACTCCCAGCCAGGAAGTGCAGATAACTCAGTGGATGGCTCCCTCCACATCAGAGGAAAAACATCTCAGAGTGCCTTTGCTGCACTATCATTCTATGTCAAGGAAATACTGCTTGAGGGTTAATAATAAACTTCTATTCCTTGGTAGAAATATAATAAACTCAATGTAGTAATACAAATGAGATAAATCAAAATAAAGTCCTTGAATTCCAGTACTTTGTGGTTTTCTGTCCTTTGTGCAGCATCACAGGGGTGTATCAATTTATTTCAAGGGTGTTAAATTCTATCATTCACTGCCACCATCTCATAAGAAAAAGTGACACTCTTAAGGCAACAAAACTGAAAGGCATCACAATAAGCTATTTAGCAAAGGTCTGGAATGTCCTCAAGAAAGTCAATGTTGAGGGTAGAGTGTTTCCTCAAGGAAGTGGAGCTATTCCTCATAGCACTGTCTGCAGAGGGTTTGCTGAAAAATCATACAGAGACCCAGCAGCTGCACCATACATCACATATCAGAGTCTTAGGAAAAGGAGATGCACTTTGGAATGGAGATGCTGGAATTAATGCATAGTTAAGAGGTATTTGGACTTTATCATTTTACTGACCAGTAGTAGCTGGTCATTTTTTAAAAACGGGGTCTATTATAGAGGCAAATTTTTTAAGTAAAGATGTTTAAAAATATAGTCATTTAGTATTACTATTTCATGCAGAAAATTAAAAAAAGCATTTAATAGCAACAAAAAGGAAAAACATAGTTCCCAAATAAAACACCATATTTAAATTTAAAAAGAAAAGTAAGCGCTTTGTTAAAAATGTATCCTATTGCCCTATTGCTTTTCTAGATAGAGTGGTGAAAATTTTATCAAGGGTCAAGACCACTCAGTGGACATTGATAAGAACCACCGATGTGCATGATGTTACTTAATGTTGTCCTTTTCACCTGGTAGATACCTTTACAGTGGGATTTGAGAATCTTTGATTTTGAGAAGATTACTACTTCAGCTGCCTGCTGCTGTTCACAGAGCAAATGATGGTTGAACTCCTGGCCGGCGAAATTTCATTTATTTGTTCTGAAAATATTTAATGATGTCATTTTATCTCTTAAGATCCAAATCAAATAGAAAATGTAAAACAATAAACACAAGGTGTCAGGTGTCTGGCTTATACAATCCTTTTAAGAAATGGTCCACAAACAGTGCATCCGAATTAGTTGGTGATACTTTTAAAAACAATGAAGTTTATGGAGCCACACCCAAGATCTGTTTAAATCAGAAAGGTTAGGAGTAAAGCCTAGGAATCTACATTTGTGACATGCTCTATAAGTGATTCTTATATACACCAAACTTTGAAAATAACTTTTTTGGATGACCCCAGATGGACAAGATCATATCCTGCTCTGGGGGCCAAATTAAGTCATTTTTAGCTGCATTTTGAAGGATGGGTAGGACTTGAGGATGAGAATTGGAAGGAAGGGGCATTCTTTTTGGAAATAATGACATGAATGGAAACATAGAAGCAGAAGAACAAATTGTATTTAGCGAATGGTGAGGAGACCAGTGTTGTTGGAGACAAGCTATAATGAAGGGGAAGAGCAAAAAGAAAAATGAAGAAGCACGTAGGAGTGACATTGCGATTGACTGTCCCACTAGAAAGCATCTGCTTCCCATACAACAAATAAATAGAAGGTCCTCCAAGTATAGGTGACCTAAGCAAATATAGTAAATGTTACAGGTTCAAAGATGGTGGAGGGGTGAGAATGGGGGGTTCTGTAGAGCAGGCACTCCTCTATTTTCAATTATCTGTTTACTTATTAATATTCAGCTTTGATCCAAAAATTTAGAAACAAGCTCTGACAATCTAATTTCATTAACAGAATTAATAAATGAGCTTTGTTGATGTGTCTGCATTGTAACATCCTCAGATAAAGCAGTGCTAATCAACTGCTGTGGTGGATAAAGATAAGCACACAAAGACTGTGATGATGTTTCCCTCCCTTTTCATAATTAACTTTCGAATCTGTCATGCTTTTCAAGGTCTAAAATAAAATAGTAGGCAGTGAAAGTTTGATCATCAATTGCATTTAATAACACCAATGGATATTAGATCTTACTGTTCTATTTAATATTTTACTTACTTTTTATTTAAACTTCAGATTCTATCAGATTCTATATTTTCATGCTGTTTCATTCTTAAAACGCTTTCATTCCCAATTCAGGGATATTTGTAGATTCTTACTATTTGAGTGCATGAGTTAAACCTTCCATCTACTGGCTCACTAGGAGGCCTGTCCACCATGAGACCAATCCAGTGCTGAGCCACAAGCTGCAGCAACTGTCATGGTGGAAGAACCCTATGGCCACATTTTGATATTTTTTTCTTCTTGGCCACTTCTTTCATCAGATATTATTCTACAGCTGCCAAAGTCCACACTGCCACCACTGTTCATGGCACACAACTCTAGACCAGTTTGAAATTAGGTGTTCATGTTCAAATTCTGACCTGATCACAGGTCATGGGCCTAGTGTGGAAGAATAATTCAATGTCATGTGGTACAAAACATGGCCAACTATATAAGCAATCACCTGTAAATAACTCTTGAACCCCTTTGGAAAGGAGTTGTGATCATGACAGATTACATTACTGACCTTTCCACTACAGCATACTATTCAGTACAGGGATCTTTTGACACAGGCAACCAGTTTATAAAACCAACATACAATGTGCTTAAAAAGATATTCAATTCATCCATGCTCAAATGATGAAGGCTTGATTCTGGAAGCTTGACCATGAGTGACTGAACTCTGTCGTAGAGAAGTGGCACCTTTCTGATCTGAGTCATAAATAGTGGCATAGGATATGATTTCAAGTTCAAATTTTGTAGCATTGAATTCAAATTTATCAATAAAATATATAAACTCTTCAAGATGAAAAACCTGTGTGAAGTTCACCAGTAGACCATAGCGAACACAAATTGAATATCCAAGCCTGAATGCAAAAGTGATTTCATAGCTCCAGAGCTTTATCCTGCAAACCAATAATAATAATAATAAAAACTATGCAGCTGGAGTGGTCAGGTCCTCTTCATCACTGCCAGGGATTCCTAGCTGGTCTTATTGCAATTCTGGGTTCTCATAACCACTGCCACTAAGAGTGGAGCTGGAGGCATAAGCAAAGGACAGACCAGTGTCTCCAACTCTCTTATACCTGGGCACTGAGCCTCCACAGCACCCACAAACAACCCAGTAGCCCCACGGGATAGGGCCAATGCCACAGCCCACAGGTTATGTGCTTTTTATGTTTTCTGTTTGCAATCGCACTGCAAATTACAGAGCCTTTGTTAATGTTGTCATGACTGAAACACTGATGAATGATTTGAAGCCATTTCCCAAGAAGCATGAAGAAGCTTGTCATTCTGGCTTAACACCCAAACTTGTTTGCAAAAACTACTTTAACCTTCTAGTTTTCTCTAGATTTTCTCTGTCCGGAACCCAACAATCAACTGCAGCAATCTCTCTATGTCTCCCAACATATTTTTGTAATATTCCCCCACAAGGCATGGAACTTCTCCATTTCCAACCTCCTATTTTAGGGAAATGTGAGTTTAGAGAGTTGATAGAAGCCTCTCCAAAAGAGTGGTTTCTTCCTTGGTTCTGGTATATTTTCTTGTCCAAGAATATCCTTGCCAGGCAGATCATTTCTGCCCCTCTTTCTCTATACAGAAGGAAGGCTAAATGGCTCAAGGGAAGGGTCATAGCATTTAAAGTCTGGCAGACGGTTGTGAGTGGTGTGACTGGGGAAATGTTATTCAACTTCATTGTACTTCAGTTTTCTCTATAAGACTTAAACTGGGGATGAGAAATAGCTAATGTAGTGTTTGGCATGGAGCAGGTATTCCAGTGAGGGATATATATTGATTAATATATATCAGTGATGAGGAGTTAATATATTGAATATATATATATGTGTGTGTGTGTGTGTATATATATATATATATAGTCTAGTGATTGGTCTATCTGGTTAAAGCCATACCATTGGATACCTCTTCTTGGATTCCTATGATAAACTAGATAGATAGATAGATAGATAGATAGATAGATAGATAGATAGATGATAGATACATAGATAGATAGATAGATAGATAGATAGATAGATAGATAGATAGATAGAGTAGATAGACAGATGGGTTCAAGAAAGAAAAAGTTATTTTTAGAACAGATGGGAAACACCTGGAAGTCACTGAACCCCTGCCTTCCATGGGTCTATAAAATAAGCCATCTTAAGCCAGCTGTGGGATGGATAGAGCCACTGATTTGATCTGGCCCCTGAAGCTACCCAGAAATCAGAGTTGAGCTAAAAGAGATACTGAAGAGTTAGCAAACATTCCTTCTCCATCTTAAAATTTGACTGACTGTGGTCTGGCCAGTTAGAACCCAGCTGGAAAATGGAAATATCTCCTAGTATATGAGGGAAATATTCTGCTTCTCCCTGCAATGACATATATTATAGATGATATATAGGCATCATATATATTATACCCCCCACACACATGTTTACATATAGTAGAACAGTAGTAGGAGTTTTTGTCATTTCTTTGCCAAACTATTTTCAAAGTGCCTTAGAAACTGAAAAATCACAGGAATGTAGTATTGGGAATCTGAACAGCTAGATTCTAACAGTAGCATACTGGTAAACCTACTCTCTTGAAAAAAAGAAAAAATGGTTTGTAGTGTTTGCTGATTTCTGTGGTGTAAATATTCCCACAGTGGCTGATTTCAAGCTATCAACCTGACATCATCAAACACAGAATTGGGAAGAGAAGAGCATAGCTGGCTCTTGTGAGCTGGTACAAGCCAGTTCTAACACAGTAGTGGTTCTAAAATAAGACATGTGTTTTGTGAACCAAACCTTACTGTCTAGGTTTCTATTTTCTCATACGTACATCAAAAATTAAACAAGACTAAAGTTTTTCAATTTAGATGTTAATAATAATTATACACACACACACATATATAAATATATTACACATGTATATGCACACAAATGTGTGTGTATGTGTATATACACACATATATATACACATATGTTCTTTGCTCAAAGAAACTTGAGAAACTGTAAAGAAAATTAAGTAGATTTCTTTATAGCAGGACCTCTTAGAGACTTTAATACGGTGATTATGTAAGAGGAAGCTATAGTATTTAGCTTTTCCTAAACATTTTTTTATGGCATAGCTGTTAACAACAACCAGACCTCTGTGTTTGATATTTTTGCAGCTTTGAAATCCAATTTAAAAAAAAAGAAAAAGAAAGAAAGGGGCCTCAAAAAGTTACCACCCTCTTCCCCATGCACACTTTCCAACTCCATTCCTCGCTTTTAAGTTAGGGGAGCTAACTTTTGTTGCGTACCTACTAAGTGCTGCATCTGAAACTCAGCTATACCAAGGTTTTCTACCCGGAAAGACAGAAATTATCTCCTACTCAATTCTATATTAGAAATCTGAGCTTCACTAGATAATTTAGCCAAAGCCATAGTTTGTTTGTTTGGAGTGAAGGAGGCAGCGAACACTGCCAGTCAAAAAGTACCTCTCCCAGGGAGCCTATTTAGAAACAAAAGTGAAATCTAATTCACATTCACATAACCATAACCGCAATCGATCCTGTAGGTGGAGAGCGATTTTAGCAATAGTGACACCTTGTGGCATTATCTGCCATGGCTCATTAGCCAGGAAGGCTAAAAGAGATTCCTTTCCAGACAAGTCACCCACTGAAAGCGGTGGAACCAAAGTGAAGAGTGCTGAGAATTTTGCAGGGTTATCATTTTGTTTTTTCTGAAATAACCTGAGATAAAAGCAGCAGAGCTGTCTTTTTTTCCTCCTTTTCTCTTATCCTTAGTTCTTTTCTTAGATTCCTATGATAAACTAAGAAGCAAGGAAGTATACATTTATATCCTACTCCACCTATATCCAAAACAAAATAGTCCATTTTAAATGCAAAGGTGACTGTTTATTATACAAAACACTAATGGCCTTAATTTCCATGGGACTTGCAGTTTCTGGGAGGTTCTCTGTATATTCTTTTCTTGTGTTTTCAGAGAGACTTCAGATGCTGCCTAATAAGAAGAAAAAACAAACACATTTTTCTAAAGCAGCCAAAGTGCTTTTAGGCTCTTAGAAGATAACAGGGCTGCTGTCAAGTCATTTGAAGAGACATCTGGAAGGCAATTTTACAAAGATGAGGGAAAATAGGAAAGCCAAAACTGGACAATAGAGTAGAGAAAGAGGAAGTTAAAAAAAAAAAAAGGACTTTTACCAGCCTTTTATTGTAAGACCAAGGACATACACTGGATTCTCAGATTTCACAAGAAGCCAAAACATTGTTTAAAACTTCCATTTGAAATTCTAGAGTGGAGAATTAAGGATGCATGTGAACTTGTTGCAGATTTTCAGGGGTTAAGGCAGTGGGGAGAGAAAAGGTTTAAATTATGCAGAGGCACCATGACTCAGAAGGCAAAATAAAGAAGTGGAAAATGAATGTTTGTGACTTCCACTTATGTCATGCTGCAGGCACATCAACTCTCTGAGCTTCTGTTATGCTACCCACAGAAAAGAGATAAATACCTAGAGGGAGGCAGGACAGTCACAAAAAAGACCAACTCTAAAGCCCTTTGTTTAGCTTGGTGACCTGGTAACTGCACCTGTGCCCTGTCTCCTTGGTTGACAGGGGATAAAGATGGTGATGGGAGCTCAGAACAAGGGAAAAAGAAAATAGGACTTAAGGGAGACGTAGAAAGGTTCGGAATGAAAGAATGGGATTAAGGGAAGGAAGCAAACAAGCAAGGAGGCTTTGTGAGTACTGTCAGAGACAAGAGACCAATGAAACTATTTTCTCCAAGTAAGTCTTGCTTCCAATTACCTGTAGAGAAATCTGTCCTCAACATCCCTGGATGAAGTGGCCGGGGGCAGTGAGCAGAGGAAGTTGAGCAGGGATTCCATGTTTCTGAACTGTTTCTCATATTCTTTTTTTCCACTAGAATATTCTTCCAACTCTCATCTCTCATTCAAAACCTTAACTTGTCTCTCTAGTAGCACCTCACATGACTAGTAAGCCCTTTCGAAGGGGTATGCACACCATTGGATACCCCTTCTCAATAATGGCTTGGCAAACACTGCAGAGCACCCACTGTGCACCAGACACGCCAGCAGCACCTGGATGCAAAGGATGAAGTCACAATCCCCTCAGCCCTCCAATTAGCAGCTCACTCAAGAATGCTCTGAATCTCCTTCCCATTCTACATCACTGCATCTCTCTTGCTGTTCTTACTACTGTTATTGGAAACAATTGCTTTCTTCCCAAGACAGGTCCTAAACTACACTGGGGTAGAGACAGTGTTTCCATCTTTGCATCTCTCTCTGTGCTGTCCCAAAGCCATTGCACACAGCAGATGCCTCCTGAATAAATGATCATGTATTTGAGTTGAATGCCTGACTGACTGTGAGGTTAGGACTTGTTGCTTCCATTCCCAAAGTGCTACGCTCCAACCTAGTGAGATAGAGGTAGTGATTTTCTCATTGGCTTGTGGCTAGGGAAGGCTAAGGTTCAGCCAGCAAAGAGATTTAGCAGGAGGGCCAGCCAAAAGAGTGCACCAGGAAAATGGAGGTCCGTGAGTAGATAACATCAGATTGGTTAGGAGGCAAAACAGAAAGCGAAGTGGACCCAACCATCCCACCACAAGTGTCCCGCCTGCCCTCGAGCTAGATCTGAACATTCCTTTATTCTTCCTGTCTCCAAACCTATTCCTCATGCCCTAGCCCCTCTGGGCAGCTCTTCTTGGTGGAGTAACAACAGCTGCTATTCTAAGTACAGGAAGCTGTCTTGTAAACAGTAATTTGTTCATATCAAATGTGTAGGACTAGAAACAAGGTAATACATGATAACTTTAATTAACACATTCTCAGATAAGACAGCCCTATTTTGAAACAACAAAAAGAAAAATCTTCATAATTCATCCTGAGGAAATAAAGCTCCTTATAACAAAACAACCAAGTTATCTATCAGAAGCTGCCAGGACACTGCCCCTTAATCAGCAGGAATGGGTGGCCAAATGCCCTGTGTGGATGGAGAGCGGCAGCCAGACCGGCTAATCAGTAGATCCCCGACGTCGCCTCACAATGCAACGTCTACCCACGGATGCTTCTCTGACCTCAATTCCCAATCTTGTCTCCTCACTTCTCTTTTCTGTCATTAGAAAAATCCAAGCCAATAAAGATATTTCATTTTCTTTTTTTTAAAGAAAGGCATTTCAGAGATTGGTAGTAGAGAGACAGCAAACAGCAAAAGACCCTGATCTCCTCCTACACTTTCTGCTGTGCCTCTCTGAGCATGAAGGCCAAACTCATTTAGTCCCTTTCAGGCAGGCCATTTCCCTCAGGATAGCGCACTTGGTGTAAAGGGGTCTGGAAGGCCAGCGTTCAGTGATCTCCAGGTACCTGAAGAAGTCCTAGTCGCCTCCACCGGTCACCTCCGCCCTGTGCTGACTTGTCCAGCTGTTTCCTCCATGACTGAGTGCAGATGACATTGTTCCCTTTCTCCATTCCAAGGTTCTCAGAGGCATTGCCTGTGGTTGACAGAACATTTTGTACCATTTTAGTTGGTAATGAGGGATACTTTCAAGCTAGAGTTATATAGTTTTCCCTTTCTTTGCAGATGTCCTATAAGGCTATTTCTATGTATCTTATTCATTTTTTGCTTGTAAATTATTAATATGAATGATAGATACCCACTTTAGAAAAATGTGAATCCTAAAAAATAATATAAACTGGTAATAAAACTCCCAAAATCTCACCATTAATTACTAAGCTACTAACGTTTCTGTAATTCTACGTTGAGGCATCCATTCTGTCTCCCTTTCTCTCTGTTCCTGAATACAGCAAAATGGACAGGTTATTCTATCCAATCTCCAGCTCATACAGATTTTCTCAACTGCATTGTATGGAGACAGAGGAATACAGAATTGAGCACCAGGAAAGTTTTAGGGCCCTTTTATTCCTAAGGCCTCCACCATGAACTGGGTTTATGGAGAAGCCGCTCCTCAACACAAGTACCATTTAGGAAATTCTTTCCCTATTTAGGTCACCTTCCCACTGGCCTCTTAATATCAATATACGAGTTGTCAGAAAACAAAACTACCATGGCAGAAGAAAGTGACAGGTGCATAAAGTACCAAAATATCTCAAAGTTTATCAAAAATCCTGCCTCAAGTATGGAAAGTGCAATCCATTTTCCTTCCCAGGGAATATGTAGCAAAAGGATTTTCTTCTCAAATATTCATTTTAAGATAAGGAGCAGGGAGACAGAGATCTATATGCATTTGATTTGGGATGGTTTCTTTGAAGGTTATTTTGGTGGAATTGTCACTTTAAAGCTATGATGTCCTTTTATCAGAGCACAATGAATGAATGTAAATGGCAGGTAGTCTTTGGCAGAGAAAAATTTCCAGTTGTCAGAGAAGGAAAAAATGTGCAGAGATACACCAGAAGAGCAAGTTGGGTAATAGTGGAGATGCTTCTCTTCCAGTTATCTCTAAAAGGAAGTTTGGTATAGTGAGGATTTGAATTTGTTCAGCCCTTTTTCATCAGAGTTTTTCACATTATCAAGGAGGAAAAGTAATAGAATAAGTCCTCTGCTGACAGCCTTCCTATCCTGTGGCTTATTAGTGTGTATGTTTCACTAGTAGGGCATAGAATAAAGATTATAGGGAGGGAACACAGGAATAAAGTTAAGGAAATAAGCTTTCGGCATGTCTGCCTAGGGTTGAAGCCAGCTTCCCCGTATACTTTTTGAGTGACTTCACCAAGTTGACTGGTCTGGTCTCATCTATATAAGGATAATAAAATGAGTTCTTACCTTATAGGGACACTATAAAGATAAAGTAATGTACTAAATATCTTGAACTGAGTGTGTACTAAAAATTTAGTTATATTCTAGAAGCTCTGCCAAAAACTAAAGGCAGAAACTTAGGTGGTTTGACCTCTCCCCGATCCCCTTCAGCCCAAGGTATTGCTTTTAAGGCCAAGACTCTCATGTATTTAGCAGGTACAAATTTTGGTCCACAAACTTGAGTGTGCATGAACTCTTCACCTTGTATCATCCTTCAGAGCAGTAGGAGTTTTGTATCAGTTGTGACAGGCTCTTTCCCCTTGGTTATGGCAGAATCTCAAAGATTTCTGTGGTACCTGGAGGGGATGAGCTGCTGATATCCCGGCTGCTACTGATTCCTGATGGCTGTTGCCTACTCTGGTCCTTTCGAAGTTCCCTGACTCGCTGTGTCCCTACCCATGTAAGTAAGAGAATCTTAAGCTAATGCTCTGAACCAAGGCGCCAAGATCTACCTCCTGAGATGCCCCTTGGCTCAGAGGAATGAGCCCTGTCTCACATCCTTTGCCCCCTCAAAGGCTTTCTCTCCTATCATCCTCCTAGCAAAATCTCAACTGATAAAACCTTTCCAACAATGTGCTTTGGGATTCTTCTGTCTTTCATCCTACTCAAATTTCTGGCTGCAAGGACTACACGAACCACAAAGCCTGGTAACTTGCTTCAAAAAATATGGAGGCAGGAAAATCTTAGGGATAACAAGAACAAAGTAATATTTCAATTAATTATTCTGCCACAGACACAGGATACCATCAATTTTCTTTAACGCCAGGGTAGTCAAATGGGAATTTTTTTCCTGCTTCATTCAGCCTTGAAAAAATATATTTTAAGAAATGTAGTATGAGAATTACTTGTAAGTGTAATTATTTAGCCACATTTCTGCCTAATGGGGCTCTTCTATCCATGAAATCCCCACATACAGGGGCCATTCTTGGCCTCTGCTCCCTCCTCCCTCGGCCACAAGTGTGTTTGCCTCCACCTTCTAAGAGCTGTTTCTTAGCTCTCAATGCCTGGAACAAATGCTTTCTCCTCCATGAAGTCCTTTGTGATTCTTCACACCCTCCTCTTTAATTCTAATGAATCACTTCTTTCTTTCACAGCACCATATTTATACCACTACTCAACAATTACTTCTTCTGCATTTTGGACTAGTATTTTCTGTTTCTGCTTTCACAGGATGATAAGCATCTTGAAAACAAGTTAGGGTAGTGATAAATAACTTATTCCTAAAAAGAATTTGAGCCAATTTTAATTAAAGTAATGACGTAAGAGACAGACTAGGTTGCAATGAAAGTCTAGTAAGTTTCTTTATGTTTAAAGGAGAGAACACAAGGGATTTTTTTTTGTTTGCTTTGTTTATGTTTTCAGGCGGTTTTTGTATAAGACAATAATTCTTAATTCTTGTTGCATATTAGTATAAGCTACGTGATTATTTTTTTAAGTAGCAGTGCCCAGGCCCCACCCTCAGAATTCTGATATAGCTGTTCTGAGGTGGAGTTCAGGCATTGAAATTTTTAAAAAGCTTCCTATGTGATCCCAATGTATAGCCAAGGCTGAGAAACTTTAGTATAGAGATGAACTCCACTGTCCTGCAATTTATGAAGGGTTTTTAATTGATGTTTCTTATTCTCCTATCTCCTCAATTTCCTAATTTATTTATCATCCTTTTGTATTCATATATTTTTGTGAACCACCTCAGATTCTTTTGAGAATGGGCAGCGTTTAAATATGCCACTAAAACGGTGAGCCAGCAATTCCCAATAATCTCTTCCCAGTATACTAAGATGTTTCTATCAAGTCTATAAAACTTATTTTAATAAGTTTTTATTCTATAAAACATATTTTTAAAGAACATTCATTGCATCCTCTCCCCACCACTCATACCTCAAATGCTTCCTTTAGCTAAAGAAAACAGCAAAAGAGATTTTATTTTTTTGAAAAAGACATATATCAAAACTTCAAAAAGTTTGGGTATCTTATAAAACTTGCTTAGGTTTCCCAACATTCTATTAGTCTAAAATTCTGAATGTAGAGCTGATTAAGAAAAAAGAGTTCCTTAAGAAAAAAGAGATTTTTATATCAGGATTGGGTTATTGAAATAATAGAGCCACAATTCTTTTAGGACCTGAAATTGTGAGACTGAACCAAATAAAACTGAATCATGTGTTTTAAACTATATATTTGGTCAGAACTCTCTTTAGTGTAGCCAAGTCCTTTGTTCATAATTAAATATTATGATAGAATCTACTATAGTTTTATCTTAGTTGAATATAAGCAGTTCTATTAAGCAATTAGGGCACTGAAATTTTTCTAAAATAAGTAGAAAAATTACATAAAGTCTTCCATAATTGATCTGATTTAATTCCATAGTACCAAAATTTATCACAATAATTGTATCAGGTCATAGATGAAAAGACTGCCTCTTAATCATTTCAAAACAATAGTAAATATCAAAGATCACTATCCTGACATAGCAAAAGCAAAAACTGCTTTCATTGAAACTTCGAAGGGCACAAATACTCCACTTATTCCAGCTTATTTACAGAAATTTATTCTCTACGTAGGTTTCACAGAACTTCTAATACCTGATTTTTTGGCTTCCTTCTGGTTTCACCCTAAAAACCCACCAGAAAATAAATCTTTTATAAATTTAACAAATTAGGTTTTTCAGGACAAAAAAATATAGTGAGAAAAAAGGGGACCATTTTCCCACCAAATAGCTCTGAGGGATGTAGGAGCCAACTCACTCATATTTCAGGCATGCTGACAAATTATTAGGTTACATGAGCTGTTACAATATCTTTGTGTTATGGTCTCTCCATTAATAAAATAGAAATGAGAGCATCTCCTACTTTCCTCTAACCAAGACGGAAGTTATGAGATATTAAACTCTATTCTTTCTGTGAAGAGAAAAGGAAGAGCTGTCTATATCCATTAATCTATACAGTAGGAACTACACAAATACCTAAATTATATATGTTAGAAATTAATAGAGATTTTTAAAGCTCATTAAAAGCTTCCTGAAGTATGGACCAATTTTTTACATATGTAAGACATTACTTTTTAAATTAAAGTAGCAAACTCAAAGATGAATTCATTTTCCCTCCTGCGTTCTATCTCATAACCTCTGGGATAAAGCACATTTTTATATCCCTGAATTGCTTTTTTTTTTCTTAATTGGCCTCTCTGGGTAATTCCATGGGATAAAACAGAAAATAGTCTTTGGGATTAGTAATACTGAACAGGTGCGAAATGTACCATTGAAAAGCTAGTTAAACCTCAAAGGTGGACGCTCCAACTATAATTTAAATGAGAGACACACAGCCTCATCAGTGCCCATATGCTGGCCAAGTGGGGATGCTCTTATCAGAGCAATCTTTATAAATGTAACAAGCCTGTTTCAATGCTACCCACAGCGTGAGGCTGCTTTCTATTTTGCATTGTAATAGATTATGCAGCTTCAATTTTCAATGGACATGCCCTAACATATTGGGTCTCTCAGGAGACATAGCAGCGGCATTGACAAGGAGGGGCAGAGGGCTAAGCAATAACGTGCAATATTTAAAATGTTTTTTTTTTGACAACTAGCAAACTGTGATTCCCAAGTAGGATGATTCACCATTTCCTGCTGTCAGATATAATAGCATCTTCTATTGTAGAAGCCTGTTACAGAATGACCATCTAAATATCTTCTGAAAGATATGTGTGTTCACATATTGATCATAAGATACAATGTTTAACTTGTTATATATGAAAAAATTATTGCTGTATAGCTTTTCTTTTTAAAGAGTGGAATAGGGTAAGGGAGAATGTGGCACCAAGGGAACAAGGCCAGCACTGTACCACAGATCACACTAATACCTGCTGATGTTATGTCACCTTTGTCAGAATGGTCTCCAGGTAGTTACTGAGCTAAGTGAGAAACTACAGTGATCAACAGTTCGAGTTTGTCCTGGGACTCAGGACTTTCAGTGCTAAGATTGAGAAAGCCCCAGGCAAAGCAAGGCCAGTTGGCAAACCTCCTGGCAACTTGTCTTTCACTTACCATCAGTGCACACTTTGATCTGAGATAGCATAAAACCATATATTAACTACCCAAACACTGACAACTTTGCTGGGACACACATGTGATGGTATTCAAAAGAAGACAGAATAATGATACACTTTTCGAGATTACCCCCACACACACACACTATACACACACACACACACACACACACACACACACACATATATATATTTTTTTGGTAGATGGAGTCTGGTTCTGTTACCAAGGCTGGAGCACAGTGGTGCGATCTTGGCTCACTGTAACCTTCCACCTCCCAGGTTCAAGTGATTCTCCTGCCTCAGCCTCCTGAGTAACTGGGACTACAGGCACGCACTGCCATGCCCGGCTAATTTTTGTATTTTTAGTAGAGACAGGGATTTCACTGTGTTGGCCAGGCTGGTCTTGAACTCCTGACCTCAGATGATCCACCCGCCTCAGCCTCCCAAAGTTCTGGGATTACAGGCATGAGCCATCGCACCCAGCCCCTAACCATTATAACTTGGCAAATAATTTCTTGACCATTTTCTAAATGTTTGTATGAGACTTGGGCACTATGATCTTCAAGATGACTGGGAGGTCTTGCCAATATGATCTCATACCAGACGGAAGGAAAATCAAAACTGTATTGGGTTGGGTTTTACTAATCTCAATCTTGATGGAATTGTTGATGTTACAATCTTAGCAGAATGTAAGACCAGATATCACAGATTTGAAAATTGTACTGCATTGGACTAGGGTATTCCAATAGGATTTTCCTTTTGGAGGCCATGAGGCAAGGTTACCCATTGTGAGTATCCAGTATCCTGAAGGAAGGGGGGATTCCCAGCGTCAATCACCCTGAAAAGCAGCAGCTCCAGACAGAAAAGGAAGCAGGCAGGGAAACAGGTTGTGAGGCACCCTAAGGGCAGACATGATCTGAGTGAGACCACATTTAGCACTAATCCAGGATGCTCATCTTCTAAACCCCCAGAATATTTAGTAAAATCTTGTAAAACACCTGCTGGTTAGTCTAAGCCAGACTACACAAAGTTAGGGGAAGGGGCCAGCACTGTTTCCACACTTGGAATCAAAGGTTAAAACAGTGTTTCTCAACTTTTTTTGTTACCAACCCTCTAAGAAGCCTTGTTAGGCAATTTTCCCCTAATCGCCTCCCTTTATGAAATGTTAATATTACAGATAGACTGTATATCTCTGTTTACATACCCATATGCACTTCTGTGCTTTATACATAAAAAGAGTAAGATATTATCACCCCCCCCAAGAACCAATTTTCACCCCTGTGGGTTTGCTGTCACCCCTATTGAGAATGCATGGGTTGGGGGAAGGATAATTGCTCCAGAGACATTGCATTCTCAGAATATCAAGAGGTGATGTGCAGTGGAGCAAGTAACAACTCACTGGGCAGAGTAGAAAACAGAAGACTGATAAAACCCCAGAAGACAGCCTTGAGTTGTAAAGTACTTAAACATTCCTAGGCAGAACTTGGTGAGAGACTGCATTCCCTGTAGTCGAACTTGATGACAGTTCTAAGTTATCAATAATATGGTTATTAGAAGAAATGTATTTTCATTTTGTCTTTAGAGGCTGGTAAGCCTAGGGAACATTTTGCTTACAAATGTAAATGGGATATATTTTTGACAAAAATTGATGAAACTGGGACTCAAAGCTCTCAGTGAAAATGAAACATCATATAAACTCAACTGTACCAACAAAAAGGCATATATGTAGAAAGGAATGAAATAATGGCATTCACAACAACCTGGGTGGAACTGGAGATCATTATTCTAAGTAAAGTAACTCAGGAGTGGAAAACCGAACATCATATGTTCATACTCATAAGTGGAAGCTAAGCTATGAGGATGCAAAGGCATAAGAGTCATACAATGAACTTTGGAAACTCAGGGAAAAGGGTGGGAGGGGAGTGAGGGATAAAAGACTACAAATTCAATACAGTGTATACTGCATAAGTGATGGGTGCACCAAAATCTCAGAAATCACCACTAAAGAACTCATTCATGTAACCAAACACCACCTGTTCCTCCCAAAACGTATGGAAATAAAAAACAAAACAAAACCAAAAAAGGCATGTATGATGAAATGTAAACAGAACATAGTGATTAAGTGATTAGTACTCCTGAAAACAAAGCAAAAGTTGTCATAATTGACCAAGAGCAATCCTATAGAGTGTTTCCAGTGCTAGGGCTTGACTAATGTCATGGTAAAGATAGTCAGAAATAATAATATAAGAGTCAAAATGCCACAGCTAAGATTTGTGTATTACAAACTCTATCCACCTTCAGTCTTTTGCAATCAGAAACTGTGTTGTCTGCTCCGTGGGAAATAGCATGTTGCATAGTGGGAAATGGATTGTGCTGAGGAGATCTGAGTTCTCTTTACAGCTGTGGGACCCTGGACTCCTGGTTCTTCACTTGCTAGCTGTCAATTCGCTAGTCTGTAAAGTGAGGGGACTAAAATAGATGGTCTCTAATATACTCTTCCTCCTCTAACATTATTTAAAGATAGGAAATTACATACTTTGCTTTCCTTTCTTAAGCAGCTAATATTTGATGAGCCTTTAAGTAGTTACTAAGCATCTCCCACTTTCCACATTGTAGTAAGTACTTAGTCAGGGTTGGATTAACATAATTCATTCAATGTTATCTCCTTTTTCTACTCAAAAATATCACAATTTATTGTATACAAAATAAAAGGTAAGACCTTAACAGCAAGTAACCCAGAGAGAAGCATGCAGTAGTGTAAATTTATACTAAAAAATATCAGATATTGTCCTACTAGTAGGGTTGGCAAAGAGAAAGGGAAAAAAGACCAGGAGGCTCAGGACACCTAATCTGGAAGAAGGACATGTGAGTAAGAGAGCAACTACCTGGGAAGCCAAGGCTGTTACTGATGGTACCCTTGACTTAACACACTTGGATATATCCTGAGCACCCCAATAGGCTAGTGTGACTTAATGCTTGGGCATGGGTTTTATGATATCAAAATTACCTAAAGATAGAGTCAAACCCTTAGCCACTGTCTTAGTATGAAAAAAAAAATGACAGAAATTGGCTTCAATTGTTTAAAACATGGAGCACCGAGTCTATGATTGACGTGACCTTCAGGAAAATAAAATACATCCACAAGTTTTGTCACTTCAAGCTTTGCTTGTTCTTAAATAAGACTAGTGAAAAATTTCTTATATAACACTAGTGAAAGTTATGTAGTCAGAGGAAAAAAATTTCTATTGGAAACCAGAAGTTCCAAGTAATAGAGATATTATTTTTTGATTTTGGGTATTTTTATTGGTAAATACACCACTGGTCAGATTTGAGTTAAAAACAAAAACAAAAACTTGATTTATTTTGTTACAATAAAAGCAGCAAAAAAGTACTATAACTACTATCCCGCTTTTGTATAACTCTAGCAAATGTTAACTGAAGAAAATACTTTCACTTTGTTTTTTCTCTAAGGAATGAAGTCTGCAGCCCACCATTACAGCCCATGTTCTGAAACAACCTGCCACTGAGCTCTGTGACCTCCAGCCACACAGAGCTGCCTGCTGGTTCCTCCATCTATGGCCTATGTTCACAGGGTACAGTATGCACCTCTTTGCACTTTATGCTGCCACTAGTCACTTAACTGTCTGTTACCCGCTTGGACTGTGAACTCCCAAAGGCAGAAACCATAATTATTCATCTTAGTGGTTCCTAGCATGTGGCACAACATCTGCATAATGTATGTGCTTGATTAGTGTTAATTGAATAAAAGTAAACTACTTTTATTTTCAGTGGCCTTCTAATTATGTAAAGCAGTATAATTCTAATGAATACTAGAGTCCTAAATGTAACATAACAGTGTATCTCTGTGTTTCAGACATTTTTAAAAAAGAAGTGAATTTTAGTGAAGTACATATTTTCTAATTATGTAAACATAAAATGTCCTCAAATTACTCCAATTTTCTCATGCTCTCTTTTATGTGAGTATGTAGGAAAATGGGGCCTCCTGTTATTATCTGTCCTGTTTGGTTTTAATTAGCATTGTTAACATATAACAAAACATGCAAACATAGGAACATCTAGATGACTATAGCTTTCATTTTTTATTCCCATATTTGGAGGCACATAGATGTAGCCACTTGGTACTTAAATATTTCTTTACAAAACATCAACAGACAGGAAAAAAATGTAAATAGAAATGCTAGTAATTTTAATGAGAGCTAGCTCTAAAAATCCAAGATTAACTCCATCTCAAATACCATAAATAAATACTTATTTTTCTGGACCAATGCTTATCTGGAGCCAGCATCAAACACACAGCTATGACAGATGTCTTAGGACATTTTCCTGAGTAATAAATAAAAAAACAAAAACAAATATAATGAAGGACAAATACTAACCCTATGATTCCTTTCTTCTGCCCTTCACTTCACCAGTTCTATGTAATATGTTATCTTCTGTAATATCCATGCACAGATTACACATGCTATTGAGAGGTGACAGTGTGCTGGCAGCCCTTGCTCGCTCTGGGCACCTCCTCAGGCCACGGCGCCACTCTGGCTGCGCTTGAGGAGCCCTTCAGCCCCCTGCTGCACTGTGGGAGCCCCTCTCTGGGCTGGCCTAGGCCGGGGCCGGCTCCCTCTGTTTGTGGGGAGGTGTGGAGGGAGAGGCGCCGGCGGGAATCGGGGCTGTGCATGCGCTCGCAGCCCAGTGTGAGTTCCGGGTGGGCGTGGGCTTGGTGGGCCCTGCACTCAGAGTGGCCAGCTGGTGCCGCTGGCCCTGGGCAGTGAGGGGCTTAGCACTCCAGCCAGCAGCTGCAGAGGGGGTGCTGGGTCCCCCAGCACTGCCAGCCCGCCTGCTCCACACTCGAATTTTCATGGGGCCTCAGCCACCCCCCTCAATGGGCTCCCGCCAGGCCCCGGACTCCCTGATGGGTGCCGCCCCCTGCTCCATGCACCTGGTCTCATCCACTGCCCAATGGTGGAGTGCAGGCACGTGGCACGGGACTGGTGGGCAGCTCCGCCCGTGGCCCCAGTGCGGGATCCACTAGGCGAAGCCAGCCGGGCTCCTCAGTCAGGTAGATACTTGGAGAACTTTTATATCTAGCTGGAAGATTGTATATGCACCAATCAGCACTCTGTGTCTAGCTCAGGGATTGTAAATGCACCAATCAGCACTCTGTGTCTAGCTCAAGGTTTGTAAACACACCAATCAGTGCTCTGTGTCTAGCTAAAGGATTGTAAACGCACCAATCAGCACTCTGTGTCTAGCTCAGGGATTGTAAATACACCAATCAGCACCCTGTGTCTAGCTCAAGGTTTGTAAACACACCAATCAGCACCCTGTGTCTAGCTCAAGGTTTGTAAATGCGCCAGTTGGTGCTCTGTGTCTAGCTAATCTAGTGGGGACTTGGAAAACTTTTGTGTCTAGCTAAAGGATTGTAAACGCACCAATCAGCACTCTGTGTCTAGCTCGGGGATTGTAAATACACCAATCAGCACTCTGTGTCTAGCTCAAGGTTTGTAAATGCACCAATCAGCACTCTGTGTCTAGCTCAAGGTTTGTAAATGCACCAATCAGTGCTCTGTGTCTAGTTAATCTAGTGGGGACTTGGAGAACTTTTATGTCTAGCTAGACGATTGTAAATACACCAATCAGCACTCTGTGTCTAGCTCAGGGATTGTAAACGCACCAATCAGCACCCTGTCAAAACGGACCAATCAGCTGTCTGTAAAACGGACCAATCAGCTGTCTGTAAAACGGAGCAATCAGCTCTCTGTAAAATGGGCCAATCAGCAGGATGTGGGTGGGGTTAGATAAGGGAATAATAGCAGGCTGCCCAGGCCAGCAGTGGCAACCCCCTGGGTCCTCTTCCACACAGTGGAAGGTTCGTTCTTTCACTCTTTGTAATAAATCTTGCTGCTGCTCATTCTTTGGGTCCGTACTGTCTTTATGAGCTGTAACACTCACTGCGAAGGTCTGCAGCTTCACTCCTGAAGCCAGTGAGACCACGAACCCACCAGAAGGAAGAAACTCTGAACACGTCCAAACATCAGAAGGAGCAAACTCCGGACACACCATCTTTAAGAACTGTAACACTCACCGCAAGGGTCTGCGGCTTCATTCTTGAAGTCAGTGAGACCAAGAACCCACCAATTCCGGACACAGTCATGTACTAAAGAACTATGATACATTTTTGAAATATTGTTGATAATCCTAGCTAAATTTTTAGACAAGAAAACAAGCTCAGGAGGGCAAGCAATTTCATAGATCTCAAAAAGTTCGCGTTGAAGTGAAAAACTATTATTTTGGAATCTGTTGATTATTATATAAAGCCTCAATCCATTTCTGAATATTAATGAATTTTTAATAAAGTCATAATTGTCTTTGTTCCAATATGTTTACAATTTACAACTCTACTTACATGAATGCTCAGAGTAGTTTACAATTAAAATATTTATGTGAGACTGTTAACTATAAAGTGAGTGAGAAGAAATAATCATGTAATTCAATGGTTCTCAACTTGGAGCAATTTTGCTATCCAGGGGACATTTGGCAATGTCTGAAGACATTTTTGGTTGTCACAGCTGGAGTTGAGGGAGCTGGATGGTTGGATTGTTACTGGTGGATAGAGGCCAGGGTTGCTTGTAAATGTCCTACAATGCACAGGACAGCCATTCCTCCTACTTCAACAAAGAATAATGATGTAGAAAAAGGAACAATAATTCAACCAGAAACCAGGTGTAATTAACATTACTAAACATTAATGTTATCTTTTGGTTTATTTCCTGGCAAATCACAATCGATAGAAGATACCTAATAATAATTTTGCAAAGATTATTGAAGTGTTCTCTATATACCTGGGTTTTCTGTTTGTTTTGTTATTGTTTTTGGATCCTCTGCAAAACCAAAAACTCAGAAGTAGTTTGTCAGTTGTGACAATACTAGGGAGCCAAACTAAGGTATTTTAAGAGTAGAACTTAGAAGGGTATAGTGATAGTTCTCAAACTTTAATGTAAACAAGATTCTCCCAGGAAGCTTGCTTAAGATACAGTTCTAGGAATTCTTGTTAAGAGATTACTATTTAATAGACATCAGCTCAATTGACCACATTTTGAGAAATATTAATTTAGTAGGACAAATGATTAAGTAAGCCTTGCGTCAGCATTTCTCAAACCTGGACCATCAGAATTACCTGGAGAATGTCTCCAGAACAGAAATATATAAGTATTCCCAGACATTCCCAGAAATTCTGATTCAACAGGTCTTGAAATGGGGACTACACAACTATGTATACTTTAAATCCCCCAGTTGATTATATTGATGAACCAGGGTTTAGATTAGCTACCATAGATTACTACTATAAAATATTATTTGTCCTAAATACATTTTTGCTGGAAGCTAGATGAAAGTCTTTTCAAAGCTGGATTTTCTGGACAGGTCTTGGGCTAAGTGTAGGGCAGGTTTTATGTTTAGGTTTTAGCCCCAATTACCCAGCTTACTAGCTATGTAATCCTGAGTACTTGACATCAGCTCTCTGAGTTTCTTCTTTGGTAAAATGGGAATACTGCCCACTATGCAAAGGAATTTTACAGGTTGGTTAGAAAAGTGCCTGGCATAGTATAAACACTCAATTAACAATTGTAAACTTTAAAGCAAGATAGATATCTATACACTTATAGCTTGTCAGCTATCCCAGAATCAATATTAATACTATGCATAAAAATTAAAGTGCTTAGAATTATATCCTTGCCTAGAGAGTTACGCCCCTCTATTAAATAAGTTGGCTATCAGAAGCACTCCACAGAAATACTCCAATATTTTTACAAGTCAATTTGTATACTTCAACTTCAGCAGACGCTGTGGAGAAATAAGCAACAGGTAGACTCTAAAATGGCCTTTAATTATCCCTACCTCTTGGTCATCACAACCTTTTTATTATCTCCTCCCCTTGAGTGTTGGCTGAACTTATTGACTCACATCATATGAATAGACTATGAAACAAGTGATAGGATGTCACCTCTGCAGTGGGGTTACAAAAAGATTGTGGCTTCTGTCTCTAGTTCCCTCTCTTGCTCCCTCACTCACTTGTTCCAACAAAAGATGGCTGCCCTGTGGAGAGGCCCATGTGGCAAGGAACTGATGCCCCTGACCAAAAGGCAAAGAGAATCTGAGGCCTGCTAATAGCCACATGAGTGAACCTGTAAGTGGATCATCCCCTAAGTTAGCCATTAGATGAAGGCAAACCACACTGACCATTTGATTGCAGCCTTATGAGTCTGAGGTGAGGCACTTAGCTAAGCTGTGCTTGAGTCCTGGCCCACAGAAATTGAGAAACAATGTTTGTTGTTTTAAGTTGCTAAGTATTAGGAAAATTTGTTACATAGCAATAAATAACCAAAACAAATGACATTAACATTCTGCTTATAAATTCAAGGATGCGATAAACATTTGAAAAAAGAAAGGTCACTATGAAAGAGAATGTATTTCAAAATATACTTGGATAAAGTCAAGGAACCATCATGGTAATTCATATCATTTGGCATATAAACTTTATTATTCACAAGCAAAAGGGCCTGTACTGTATTCAGCAGGTCTAGGCACAGCTGCAGATATAGCTAATATGGAAGTTTTCTGCAACAATGCTTGTGAGTGGCCACAACACAAGAAAAGGGTCGGTTCTAAAAGTGGCATATAATTGGTTAAAATCACAGTGATTTCTTAGGAAGTGAATGGCCAAGTTGACATTAATATGAAAGTTTTGAGATCTTGTGATCACAGAAATTCTGAGGTCACGTAGTTTCAACAAAAATCCTAAATCACAGAGGAACTGGCAATTTAAATAGGAAATTAGTTCACAGCATTCAGAAATGGCTTCTATGAAATCCTTGACTAGGAATTCCTTTCACTATCCTAGAATTGGTTTTGTTAAGACCATAAAGACATGTGTCACTTACCAGGCCAGTTAGCATACTCTTTCAAATTGGGTCCTTTCCTGTGAAAAAGCATAAATTTTCCAGTGGTAATTTGACCCATATGGGCTACCATCCCTGAAAGTAAATTTGCACTTGCTTACAAGAATTTTAACTAGGCTATCCTTGAGAATGCCTCATTACCTTTATAGCAGTAATCAACTGAAAGGATGATCAAGGCTGACCAAAAAGATCTGGCTGATTTGCTCCTGGGACTTTATCTTCCACAGAGAGGCCAATGTCAAGTGCTCAATTATAATTTCAAAATTAGATAAAGTCTTAAAAGACAGCAGGCATATACTCTGAACACTGCATGGCCACACGGATCATTTTACCCAATTTTAACATAAAATGTCTTTTTTTAAAATTCATGACATTAAACTACAGGTGGTTTCTTCCAGAAAGTAGGAGTAGAGGCTTAAAAAAGTCAAACTAGTCAAACTACCTTTATGTGCTTCTCAACTCCATTATATAATTTCTATTTCCATTTCAGTATTACCTCACTTCTCTAAGTGTTTTTCACCTATAAAATTGGATGACGAACAATATCTACTTTGTGTCATTGTAAACAGTAAATGAAATAACCTAAATAATGTATTTATTATAATTTTTCTAACAGAGCAACTGCTCTATAAATGCATGTTATGATAATAAAAGTAATAATTACTCTGTCATCTCAGATCAAATAATACGTGGAATTTAGTGTCCTTTCCTTTTTGACCAATTGTGATATTGTTGTCAGAACATTGATGGAAAATCATTTGAAACCTAGAACTTCATGAGCTAAAGGATCATTCAACTGAGAAGGTGATGAAAGGCTTATTAGACATACAAAGACACTCAAAGTTAACACTGAAAGTCTCTTTCTGAAAGATATACTAGGTGATATACACCAATTAGAGAAAAATGAATTCAGGAGGAGCAGAGGAATGAAACAATGACATGCAAAAGCTAGTAAAACTTAATTCTAAATAAGTATTAGTTTTTAATCAGTGTGCTTAACAAGTGGATTCTCTGTCTCCTTTATTGTAATTTGATTCTTTCATGCATGAAGATCAAAGATACAAGCCAATATAATTCATGAAGAAAAATTGAGTATTGATATTTTGGGGGATGTTTGAAATACAAAAACATAAAAAGGAAAGTTAACCAGAACCCTTGCCAATGATAGCCTTTAATATTTGTGACCATATTTTTATGTTCTGTGTATTATTTTAAATAACTGGGATTTATGCCATACATTCTATGTAAAAATGAATTTCAGTAGCCACTTGGGAAAAAAATAATCCAAAGAATATCAGGCATGAGGGGTAGGAGGAAGAGATGAGGGAAAGGAGAAGGAAATAAAAGCATATCAATCTCCTGTTGAGAAAGATGACTTAGGTGCTGGTTAAATATTGACATTGAATATAAAGTACAAATTAAATTTTGTGTTCTTAAAAGTTAGATTTTCTACTATAAGAAAGATAGTAATAGCCTAGGATATAACTACACAAAAGATAGAGGCTTAAAAAGTAAAGATCATATGTGTAACATTAAACCAATAAAGTTAAAATGAAGTGCACGATATACTGAGAAAGTTTAAATGATAAAAACTACCACAACATAAGTAGAATACCTAAGTAGACCATAATCAATCAAATATATTTAATATATTACTTAAAACTATGTCCTGGCCCTCAAAACTTACTAAGACTTAATTCTTTTACAAATGATATGTACCAAACCTTCAAGGAACATGGAATTCCCAACTTATACAAATCATTACAGAGTATAGGAAAATATACCAAGCTACTAAATTTATGTTATGATTCACATAAAACACTGGAGTCATATATAGCTAATGATAGCACATAATCATCTCAGATAGCAAACTATAAGATAAAATCATTTAGGTACAAACATTGATAGCTTGTCTAGAGACCTGCATAATTAATTATAATATAATAAGAAAACCAATTATAATACAATAAGTATAATAAGAAAAAATATGTCATTTCCGATAGATACAAAACTGACAAAATAGCTAGAAATATAACCAGTTAATTTTTTTAATCCATGAGAAAATATAGACTCTTACTGAAGAACCTTTAAAAACCCTTTAATATATGAAAAGATATTCCATATTTATAGATGCATAAACTCAGTATTTTGGCTATCGATTCTTATCATATTAATATATCAATTCAATGAATCCCAAACAAAATCCCAATACAATTTTTCATGGGAGTTGAAAACATAATTCCAAAATTCACGTATAGGAGTAAATGCATAACGATAGACGAGACAATATTTAAAAATAATATAAGATGGTTTTTCCCTGTTTGATATTAAAGTATATCATAAGGTATTGTGATTAAAACTGTGTGGAATTGGCTAAAGCATAAACAAATACATCAGAAGGATTAAAAAGATAATTCAGAAATTGACCCATACATATTTGGGAAATTAGACCATGATAGATGTAGCATTTCATATTAATGGAGAAATGACAGATTATTCAATAAGTACTTCTCAGATGATTGCCTAGTTATTTCAAAAAAGAAGCAGTTATATTATTCCATAGCAATTATAATATTAAGTTCTGAATGGATTAAAATTACCTAAATATAAAAGACAATATAATAAAATAATGGAAGAAAGTATAAATGATTATGTTTATGTCTTTGAAACAGGAAAAATCCTGGGACAAGACACTAAAAATTGATAAATTTGGCTGTATCAAGTGTTAGGATTTCTGATTGATAAAATACAATACTAATCAAATAAATAGATGTGGACATTATAGGAGAAAATAGTTGCAAGGTAATGACAAAAGATTTTCATCGATAACATATAAAGAATTCCTACAAATCAATAAGGAAAAGACAAGTAGTGCAATAAAAAATTAGCAAAAGAAAGGAATGATCAATTCATAGAACAGAAAATACATATGGCCAATGCAGGTACAGAAATGTATTCAACTTCACTAATATTCGGGGAAAGAAAAATTCAAACAACCTATTTGTCTACCAGATTGTCAAAATATTAAAACATTTAATGCTATCAATTGTTTGTGAGGGTGTAAAGAATGTGATAGTCTCATATGGTTTAAAATTTAAAATGTGCGTAACACATTTTTAGTAGCAATTGAGCATGTACCCTAAAAAGGTACTGTGCCTGGGAATAAGGTGGCTTGAGTAAAACTGTTTGTTGCAAAAGATGGAAACAACCTATTTCTTAGGATTACCAGTATTATAGCAATATAAGTATAAAGCATCAACTATTAGTATATCAATATTAAGCATTCAGTATTAGGAAGCAGTTAAAAAGGAGGATTTGGACTAACAGTTAAATGTGTAAAAACCCTTTATTGAGTTATAAATGCATGTTTTAGAATGGTATTTATATCAACACAATTTATATTTTGCAAAATCACTGAGCAACAGTATTTATTTTCCATAGATACATGTGTCTATGAATACTTAAAATGATCTGTTGCAAGGAGAAGCAAACTATAGCTTGCCTGGTTTTGTGAGGTCTGCGTCCTAAGAATGGTTTTTACAATGTCAAATCGTTGGGGGAATAATCAGAGGAAGAAAATATTTTGAAGCACATGTATAAAATTCCAATTTTGTTGTGCATAAATAAAGTTTTACTAGAATACATCTACAATCATTTGTTTACATTTTGCTGATGGCTGCTTTCAGTCTCCAATGGAGGAGTTGACTAGTAGGTAACAGAGACTATAAATATACTTGTAAATATTTAATTAAATAATTAAATTAGAATTTCATTAACACTACATACATGCCTAAAATATTTACTCTCTGGCCCCTTACAGAAAATGTTTGCTGAACCTGAGGGATAAGCACAAATTATAGTAGCCAAAGAGAGCTTTACCTTAGCAGTTGGTTTTAAAATAGAATGAATTCAGCCTGGGTGACAAAGCAAGACCCTATGCAGAAGAAGAAGAGGAAGAAAAGGAGAGGAAGACGAAGAAGAGGAAGAGGAAGAGGAGGAGAAGGAGGAAGAAGAGAAGGAGGAAGAAGAGGAGGAGGGGTAAGAAGAAGGAGGTGGAGGAGGAGGGGGTGGAGCAGGAGGAGAAGGAGAATGATGTTTTCTCATTTATTGGTTGGATTTCTGAAATAAACCAGTCTTTAAAAAGAGGGAAATCACTCAGATAAGCTGAAAATGTATAGGCCCAACGCAACTTCATTTGTGGCTTGATTCAAGTTATATTATCAACAAGATCACATCTGGGCTCCACTTTCCTGGGCTGTCTCCACTAACAGGTCCAAATTTTTTCAGAAGAGAACTGCCAACCATTCCTAGGGCCTTGGATTCTCCATTTGAATCCAGAAAAAGAAGCTAGCATCTTCATCCCAATAATCGTACCCAACACATTCCGAGTTGGGGAAAGACACAGATAGATTGGTAGCGAGGGGTATTTTCTCATTACCCTTGTTTAGAATTGCCAGCAGGTGGTGATTTAAAACAAAACAAAACAAAACAAAAACAAAAATGTGTAGTTTCATTATTGCTTTTAAATTCTCCACAAAGCACTTCTTTGTTGTCTGCACCTCGGCTGACTTCTGCTGGCCTGTCTTTGGTGAGCCACTGACCCTAGAAGGAGCTTGAGACTCACTCTAGAGTACTGAGTAGTTAGGATCCCACAGGTGAACCAATGATTGAGATGGGAAGATAGCAACACACCATCTTAGGCTTTGACCCCTGTAAGGCACCTGGACCGTGAAGCTAAAGCATTCTTTTTGTTACCAGAAGAGGCAGCGAATACTCCGGCGGATTTCTACTTATGTAATTAAACACTCATGTTAAAAATAAAGAAAAGCATGTGCTTGAGTTTCAGATAACTCTGGATTTAAATCCTATTACTTATTAGGGGTGTTTTCTTTGGTAAGTTCCCCCGTGCCTTCATTTTTTCTCTTTTAATAAGTTTGACATCACAGAGTCATTTTAAAGATTAAATGAGATTAATAATATAGATTGTCTAGTACTTAGTAAATAATAGGTGCTTAATAAATGTTACCTAGTGTTATTTGTTATTGTGCTAGAAGTATGGCATAAAGCCAACAACATGGAAAGCTTCTGGTGATTATTAGACAATGCTAGTTAAAAGGAACGAGTAATGAAGGACAGGCTGTTCTGTGGTTCAGTGTTAGCTTTTCGTTCTCTGCTGGGTCTTTTTTCTTTTTCTTTTTTTTCCAGCACAAGTCATTTTGTGGGGCAATGGTTTGGATGTTGCTAGCCTATAATAATTTGTCTACAGTAAAGTCTTGTTTCCCTTAAAGCTGCTTATCTCTTGTGAGAGAAACTGACTACATTGATGGCCCATATAACGGTCTCTCAAATGGCCCTTTGAAAACGTGACTTTGAAACTCTCCCCATCAAGAGGTGGAGTCAATTTCCCCGCCTCTTTTTTTTATTTTTTATTTATTTTTTATTTATTTATTTATTTATTTATTTATTTATTTATTTATTTATTTATTTTTGAGAAGGAGTCTTGCTCTGTTGCCTAGGCTGGAGTGCAGTGGCGTGATCTCGGCTCACTGCAAGCTCCGCCTCCCGGGTTCACACCATTCTCCTGCCTCAGCCTCCTGAGTAGCTGGGACCACAGTCGCCCGCCGCCACACCCGGCTGATTTTTTGTATTTTTAGTAGAAACGGGGTTTCACCGTGTTAGCCAGGATGGTCTCAATCTCCTGACCTCGTGATCCTCCATCCTCAGGCGCCCAAAGTGCTGGGATTACAGGCGTGAGCCACAGCGCCCAGCCTCCCCACCTCTTGAATCTGGGATGCCCTTCTGATCTGTTTGACCAACAGAATATGGGGGAAGCCACAGCATACCAGTTCCAAACCTAGGTTTTTTAAGAGAGCTCACTTACCTCCACTGTCTCAACCCACTGCATCTGCCATTAAGAACAAGCCTGGGCTAGTCTGCTGCACAGTGAGGGACAATGTAGAGAAGAGCTGAAGCACCCCAGTCTCCAAGTGGGCTGGTGCCTGATTTTGCTAGGGAGCCCTAACTATATAGGCAGAGCTGCTACTCGACCTAGAGCTGACCAGAAATACAGGTGTCCAGCTGAAACTAGAAGAATGCTCTCGATGCCACAGACATCTGAGCAATAAACAGTTTGCTATGCAAACCAGTTCACCTTATCTATGTGCTTTTTCTTAAAATAACATGTTTAGTTTTCACATTTCTCTCTTATAAGTCCTTAGTTAACAAGAAGTATTTTATTTCAGTGAGTACAGAAAAATTCTAACAAAAAGCAGGTGAATAAATAGTCATCTCTAATTTCTGATAAAACTAGGCTCACCACTTTAGACCTACTTTTGGTTGGCCTTTTTTTATTCCTTAGAAAAGGTTTGTGCCTTTCTCTTGTGTGTTTTTTGTTGTTATTTTTGTTATTCAGGGAGAATAGAAATGTACAAATAGCCAGACAAAATATGTATAATTTTTTTCTAATGTCAACCGTCAAAAAAACAAAAAGAAAGAAAATAAATAACGCTTTTACTTACTCTTGTTCCTTTAGGAATTATTTTGTTTTCCACCTGGGAGGTTCTCGACAATTTCAATTGGAATTGGTTTTAGTTCTATTCTCAGAACTGTTAACTCTTAGACGAGTATGTGACTGAGCATCTTCCACTTTAATTGATCTAATTTGCACGCATAATTTTGATGGAATTATTCACCATAAAGTGCACCTTTGGGCCTTAAAATAGCCCCCCTTTTTTTCTATGAATTCATTGCATTAATTTACCTGCAAATTCCTCCTTTCTCTAGGCACTTCTCTTGGTTATGTAAATACTTTTATACAGATTTCCCATTACAAACTGTTTGGAAACACTGTGTTCTCTCATTTCTTTCCTGTTTAGATTGGGAATAGGTCTTGGAAACTTCAAAGTTGCAATTTTTAATGATTTTTTTCTGATAAATTGGAGATTTTTGTCATATCTCTGATTCATTAATAACATAAATGTAATAAACACTAAAATGATGATAACAGCATCCTAGTCCTGAAGATTCTAGTTTCACTTTCAACACAATTTAATCATAGTTTCCAAGGTGCATTAGTAATAAGATACAAGGTTTTAAATATCATTTAACGATTATTTATTCTACAATCCACTAGTTGGAGTAACAATTGAAGAGTGCCAATATAGGAAACAGTCGTGATGGCAATAAATTTCTTTATTCTAATTCTGTATGGCATCAGTATCCTGAGGTCACTAGTAGTGTTTCTAAGATGCTTGAATTGAGACCTAACAGCCTCTCAAATAGGCTAAAGTTTGTGGAGATCATCAAACATATTCAATCAGTCAGTCAGTATAGCTCACTATACTATTGTATTATTCTTTAATTATTTGTTCCCATGCTTCTGTTCCTCCTAGACTGTGTGCTCCCAGAGGTCATGGATCTGCCTGAAATACAATAGATATTTAATTAATGTTTGAGAGAGGGAGAGAGGGAAGGAGAAAGAGAGGGAGGGAGGGAGGGAGGAGGAAGGAAGGAAGGAACAAGGAAGGAAGGAAGGAAGGATTTAGCACATATGCATGTATATAATTGTGACTATAAGACTTACAGAACAGAGTAATCACATTGCAGATATTGCAGCTAGACTCAAGTACGTAAGCATATATATATTCAGTGAGGACCAGTCTTTGCTTTAGCACATCAAAGCAGCCAATCTGAGTTTTGTGCTGAGTCTTATAGGCTGACCCAGGCAAGGAGAAAGTAATGGGATAGGAGAGAAGAGAGAAAACTTGTTGCTTTTAGCTGATACCAGCTACCTAGTAATATTAGCCTTACTCAGACCTCAGTCTACCTTTTTGGCCCTTGAGGTTTAATTCCTTTCTCCTTTTCTCCTGGCTGGTAGGGAAAGAAGGGTGAAGTTAATTCAATTGTTTGTTTCCTTCCTTCCTTCCTTCCTTCTTTCTTTCCTTCCTTTCTTTTTTCCTGCCTTCATTCCTATCTTCTTTCCTCTCTCCCTCATCTTTTTCCTTTCTTCCTTCCTAACTTTTTCTACAAAGACAAAACGTCTTGAAAAAGGTTCAGGATATATAGTTCTACCATGAATGTTAAATATATTACTACATGGTCAAAAATCTGGTAATTTTGTTCATATTACAGAATTACCCTGATTTTATATACAACTAATCAGACTTAAAGATTTATAACTGATTGATTCCAACAATTTCTTATCTAAGAAAACAACATCATGAGGCATTAGCTACACTTAGTACAATGCACCCAGACGGAATAAATAGGAAACTGTAAATTGTTGAATTGCCTTCATAGTGCCTTCTGATCTATATCAGATTATATCTTGAAATATTAATATTCTGGCTGACAATGTGGTATGACTCCTATAGGCTGAATTGAATACAGATGAGATTTATTAAAGAGCTGAATGATTTACAGCAAATAAGCAGCATCATAAATGTTGGTGCTTATTCCTGAGATAGATGTAATCTTCAGGAAGAGATTAAGCCAATGTATATATTAGGAAGATGGTAGATTGAAGTATTGCTGGGTAGTGGCTATATTTAACTTACTCAATGCTATAACATCATACTCTAAAATAAGGACAAATATATAAAAGAAAATCTTCATGACCCTAACCTTTACTGGTCTGAACATAACCTGCATGTTAAAATGTGTTATCTTACTGTCAGTCATAAGGAAAACTCAAGATAATTCTTCCCATATGGTGCTGTGCATTTAATTCCTTTAACAGAGCCACCTGAGTATGTACAAAGCCAGTGATGGAAACAGGAGTTATTTACTTTGATGGTATTAGTCTTGAATCATTTATCACTGCCAATACTCAACAAAACTGCTGGGTCCAGATCCTGTTGATACATTATTACATTCTGAACCTGTCATCTTATTTCTTGCATGCAATAAAAATGAACTCAGTATCATGACTTTCGTACCAACTTTCTTCTTTTTTGGTAAATGGTCATCTTTAATTTTGATTGTGTAGAAGGATGATTGCAATGAGCTTGAGGCAGTTGTTTTTCTTCCACCCCAAACTTTTTATCACCCATATGCCTTTGCTGCCCTTCAGCCCTGCTCCTTCATCTGAGTACCTCAAAAATGTCAGAAGAGCATCTTCACTTTCTCAGATGTCAGCTTGCTTCCATCTTCATTCACATCCTAGACTGCCTCCCCTACCTCCTCTAGTAATCTAGCCAGAGTCTAGGTCTACCTTGACCACCTTCATCTATAACAATTACAACATAGATCCGATGGGAATAAGGCCAGTGGTCATACTCCCATAGTTTATTATTGGAATGAATGATTTACATAGTGTTGCTCAGATTATAATGCTAGTCCTAACCGAACATGTCATGAAAACTTGGTTTTGTCAAGCTCTGTTTTTGATTTTTTTGTTCCTCTAATCTCTTGTCCTCTCCTCTTTTCTTCTATTTTTGACATATAAAACTGAGAAATATTCCATTAAAAGAGTAATTTTTAATCCCCTCTTTCCTTAGCATCAAGTTGTTTCTCCAATTTAACATTCATAATTCTGTTAGCACTTAATTGTCCCTACAAGCCTGCCAACAGTGAAAAAGCAGGTAGTTAAGAAGAGTGAAAATTTAAGCCACAGAAAATATGCAAAAGGATTCCATTTCTGAAAAGTAGGAATCAGTGGGGTAGTTACTGTTGCCTATAATTTAGTAATATAAGATGTCTGTTTAAGTCATTAATTCTGACACAATATCCTGAATTCGAGGGAATGTTTTATTTTTGTTGAAGGTTAAAAATGCTGCCTAGTGGCATGCTAGGGCCTATAAGTTGTATATTGGATTTAAGCTATAATTTATTCCTTTAGGAGCTAACAAAATTTTAAAAATAGGAGTCTGCTGCAACTGTTGCACATTTTAAACACATGCTAATGGAAGCTGATGGTTACTAACTATCACAGAAACATTTACTGTGTTTACCTGTTTGTGAGAGTGCTGAGGGCAGCAAGCTGAGAATAAACTCTTAAGTCTGAGAGACAGAGAAATAATTACTTGTTTGCCTCAAAAGTATATGGAATAAATATGCATGGAGTTATTATACTGTGTGTAAATAATTTGGTTTTCTGATTGGCGTGTGTATGATGAAGAAAGAATTAAAATCCAAGGGGGAACAGAAGACAAGTATATAGAAACATGCTATTTCCCCAGGCTCACTACAGTGTGTTGTAAGGAAAGATGGATCCGGCTGCCAGCAACAATCATGAAAAAGAAAATCATCAAACAAGTGGGACTAAGGAAGTGGCCTTCTCTCATAGACGCAAGGCTCTTAGATAATATGGGATGACTCAGGTAATGATTATGATGAATGCTTACTCCACACCAGGGACTACTAACCCACACTATCCTCACAATAATTCTATTGAATGAGTTCATACTCACATTTGTTTATTGTGCAGAAATTGAGGTATATAGAATTGATCTAGGCCACTTGGAACTAGTATTTGAACCAGTCATTCTGAAGTCCAGGCCCATATTCTTCAATATTTGATACATTGCATCTATGGAAAGTAGTAACAAAAGTAACACACCCACACACACACACACACACACACACACACACACACAACTTTACATAAACAGGTAAATGAACTGCATTTTTCTCATTGAAATTAATATTCCTGACCTTAATCAACCACTTTATTTTGAGTGATTTTCAAAATCCAGATTCAATTTTTCACAATTAAGCATATTCTCAAAGAAGTTATGTAATCACTGAAGGAAATTCTGAAGGAGCAGTTCCAAAGGGGTTTTAAACATTTGTAGATATAACAGGTACCCCAACATGACAACTTTAGAGACAAATGTGCTGAGTTGAGTGTTTATACCTAATATATTGGTTTTTTTAATTAGCTATATTATCTTAGAGTCATAATTTTTAGAGAAATTGTATTTACAAACACCAATGAAAAGTTATACGGCATATTTAAAAGTAAACTCTAAATGTACTAAAACAGTAAGTATGAAAAGAGAAAGCTAAAAGAAAAAAATAGGTTAAAAGCTAATAGAATAAAACCTTTGAAATCTTTGTTTAGAGAATCATTGCTTTTAAAAGATTAAATTTTAAAAAAACACAAGCATATGAAGGCTGGGAATTGGTAAGTTGAATTATATCAAAATTAATTAAATAGTCCATGGACATTCTTAGATAATGTTGACAGACAAGTGACAGACTAGCAAAAGATATCTGCAATGCCTAAAACTTTCAAGGATTTCATATCTAGAATATTTGAGGAAGTCCTGCAAATCTAATAAAACACAAGCAATCTAAAGAAAAAAGTGTATACAAAGGACATAAATAGGCCCTTGAAAGTAGGGGAAATCCAGATGGTTAACACATACATGAAGAGATTTTTTTCTTTTCTTTTTTGAGATGGAGTCTAGCTCTGTCACCCAGGCTGGAGTACAGTGGTGCGATCTCAGTTCACTGCAAACTCCGCCTCCTGGGTTCACACCATTCTCCTGTCTCAGCCTCCTGAGTAGCTGGGACCACAGGCGCCCGCCACCACACCCGGCTAATTTTTTGTATTTTTAGTAGAGACAGGGTTTCACCGTGTTAGCCAGGATGGTCTCGATCTCCTGACCTCATTATCCACCCGCCTTGGCCTCCCAAGGTGCTGGGATTACAGGCGTGAGCCACCATGCCTGGCATGAAGAGATTTTTTTGTAAGAAATTCAAAATGAAATAAGCTACGACATCACATTAAGAAAACTTAGAAAATGTGATAATATGACCAATGCTGTAGACAAGGATAAGAGGAAGCAAGAGCCCTTGTCCAGACCTACTGGAAGGATAAACTAGCACAGCCATTCTGGAAAGCAGTCCAGGTGTGCTTATCTCTATCAATCAGCCATGGCTGCATTGTAATTCACTACAGAACCCCAGGGGCCTACAACAGTAGACACTTATTCCTCATGCCACTGTGTGTCTGCAGGAGCAGTTCGCTGATCTCCGTCAGGCTCTTTTTAATCTGCTGCTGCCAGTCAGCTCATTAAGGCTGGACAAGGCTTGGGGACTGTATTAAGCTGCAGGTTTGTCTAGTCTGGGCTCCTCACTATTGGTTGAGTTGATGTCTTTCCCAGATGTTTCTCATCCTTCTTGACTACCAGTCCAGCTGGAGCATGTTCTCTTCATGGCAATGGCAGAGGCACAAAAGGGCAAGTGGAAACATGGGAAGGGTCTTCATACCTAGGCCTGGAACTGGCACACTGTTTCTTCTGCCCACACTCTATTGGCAAAGCAAGTTACGTGATGGGAAGCACACCCCACTTTAAGTAATCAGAACTTTCAAGTTACATGAAAAAGGGTGTGGACACAGGGAAAAGTGAATAATTGGAGTGATTATTCCATTTATCATAATTTCTTATGACTTAACCACCCAATTTCTTCATATATATTTGAGAGAAACTCCCCCACATGTCTACAAGGAAATAAGTATAAAAATACTGATTGCAGCACTGTTTGTAATAGTAAAGATGGGGCAGCTCAGGAGAGCCTTACAAGAAAAATGAACACTGATACTAAATATGGTATCTAATATGATACTAAAATATGGTATCTGCCAGCAATAGAATACAATGCAGCAGTCAGAACTAATTCATTAGATATTCATATAGCATCATGAATAGATCTTAATAACTAAATGTTGATTTTAAAAAGCAATAAAGAGTATGAAAGCCATTGTACAATGTCAGGTATATATCCCCATCCTAACACTGTATATTTTTCAAAGGTACACATACCTGTCAAAGGCCCTTCATTAAATAAATAAGAATGGTTTCCAAAGAGCAAGCAAAAAATGGGGTTGGGGATAGGAAATTAAGGCAGAAGAATAAAATAATAAAAACAGGAGCTTTGCAATACAGTGAGAATTTAATCATATGAATTTTTGCCCCTGTGATTTTTAAACATAAAAATTTTTATAACAAACCCTAAAGAAAGAAGGGACTAAAATGAGCAGATTACATTCAGAACACTTTGTAAGGAAACAAACTTTTAAGCACAGCTTTGGAGTCACAGAGACTGGTTTGAGAAAAGATGAACTAGGAAAGAACACATCATGGCCAAGGCTTAGAAGCAGGGACAGGAGAAGGATGTGTAAGAATTATATAGGGCTTATTGTGACAGAAATTTAATGAAAGCCTGACAGGCTGTGACAATAGATGAAAGAATAAGGCAGAGGCTCTTGTAATCTCTGATTGGGGCTTTTATTAGGATCTTTCTATAGTTTGGGAGTCCTTTAAGTCTTGCTGGAGACATTTGAACAGAGTGTAAAATGAGTCCTGTGGAAGAGGAGCTCTTGAACGCCTATGTGTTGATCCACTGTCCTTCAGAAATCACACTGATCAGAGTTTCTGTGACACTTTATTGGTCTGAGAAACTCATATAAGTTTACTGAGAGTATTAGGAATTATTCTTCCCCTAAAGTACAAAACAAACAAATGCCAAAAACTAAAGAAAGAAAAGGAAAGAAAGAAAGAAAGAAAGAAAGAAAGAAAGAAAGAAAGAAAGAAGGAAAGAAAGAAAGAAAGAAAGAAAAAGAAAGAAGGAAAGAAAGAGAACAAATGAATGAAAGAGAGAAAGAGAGAACAAAGAAATGAAAGAAGAGAGAAAGAGAGAAAGAAAGAAAGAAAGAAAAGAAAGAAAGAAAGAAAGAAAGAAAGAAAAAGAAAAAGCAAGCAAGCAATAAAAACAACTTTTGTTGGTGTTGCAGCTCATACTGAGAGAAATTAATGAAGGAGCAGGAATTGGAAATAGACTATACATGGTTTTCTGTTTTCTCATCTCAGTGTCATCTATCACAGCCTCTGAAATTATTAACTCCTTTCTTTAACATCTTAAACACCTTTTATTTAAATCAAAAACTCTCTTTATTAGAAGAGCTGATTTATCCTGTTTAAAAAAAAACATATTTTAATCACTGTTGAAGAAACTGTAAATTGCCAGGGCAAATTACGAAGGGCAATTTGACAGTGTATATGGTTTTAAAATGTTAATGTTTTAATGCAATAATTTAACCCTCAGGAATTTTTCTAATTCGAATTTCTAAAGGAATAATCAAATATGCACAAAAACATTCACCGTAATGTGATTGTAATAGCAAAAAATAAGAAATAGCTAAATGAGTAATAACAAAGCATTAAAGAAATTATGGCAATTTTGTTTAATAGAATGTCATTTAGTCACAAAAGCACATGTTTAAAAATATTTAGTAACATGGGAGAAACACTACAAATATGTGAGGAAGCAAGTTATAAAAATATACCAAGATTGGGAAATATATTTAAATATAAACAGTTTTTATCTCTGAGTGTGAAACTACATCAAAATAACTTCTGTTTCTTTCTCTTCCAATTTATCCTAAGTGACCACGTGCTGCTATTATAAAACAAAATAAATATGTACTATATATAGTATTATAGAACTATAATACTATATTGAATAAATAAGTTAAATGTTGTTGAAACTGGCAATTTAAGTAATTCATAATCACTCCTTTTATCTGTTAAAATGTATGTTTCAATTCCTCTAAGCAATCTTCAAGAATGGAAAATTTTGATATACATTCAACCATATTTTGGAAATTCTCCAGCAGTGTTTGAGGTAAATATCCCACCTGGATATAGGGGATTTGGTTAATAGAAACTGGGCAAATTAATAGAGGATTTCACACCCTGAGAGAATTAAAGGATATTTAAAAGGCAACAAAAGCTACGTTTCTGCAAAACAAAGTCAAGTACCTTGTTCAAAAGGGCATTTACTCTAATTCATACCCAAGCCTTGGGATAGATTCACATTCTCATTCACTGCTCCCAGTATCTAGGGCACTTTCCAAACACCAGGGGTGCCATGGTGGTGTGTGTAATAATAGATAGCAAAACGAAGATGGAGCTCACTCCGGAAATTATGAGGGGAATTCAGCAAAATAAATAAAGGCTATGAAGGCAATGACCATAACCTATTAAATGCTGGTCACCTCCTGTTTTCTCCTCCTATCACTCCCCTGAGGTTCTTAACAAAGTACTTCCGACAACAGGTAATATTACATTCAGCCGTGTAACCAACTGCAGAATTTCTGATTAGCAGGGATCACAGTATGTTTTCATTTGCAAGAACCAATCCTTTAATCCTCAACACAGAAAATGAGGCACACACTATGACAGACCCAGATCAGAGTGACAACTTTTCTTGCTTATAAATAAATAGCAGGGAAATCTAGCTTGATTTCAAGAGATCGTGCTTTGAGGCTCAGTATTGCAGCTGGACCATGAAGGTGCTGAGAAGAACGAACTCTCAATTCTTTCCCCTGAGTGTTTCCCGGGTGAAATGTGTGGATTCCTGGGTTGCTCAAAGAGTGTATGAATGAAAGAGAAAGTATTGCCCATTGTTTGCTCCATCAGAACCATGGACTTGCCTCTCCCAGGACTGGGATTAATCACTGTGCCCCTTTATAAGAAGCATGCTTCAGGAAATGAGCAGAGCATGAAATGGAGTAGCTGGAAAATGGTCTAACCTCAAGGTACCAACAGATCAAATAAATATTCTCTGTCCCCAAACAAAAGGAACAATATTTTCCCTCATTCTTCCTCGGCCATTACCAGTCAGAAATCATGGGACTGGGGTTGGATTGCTTCGTGATCTGTCGAAAGAAACTAAAAATAAAATCATTCCACATTATGGGAACACTTGAGTTGCATTTTCATACAACTTTCCCAAATTGCAAGACTTCTGCCATGTAAGAAACACTTACTAATTTACCAAGGCCTCAGAGGCCTGGAATGCATAATGGCCCATTCAAACCAGAAGTCAACATTTAGATTGGTGGTTCAAGTAAGTGCCAACTCAGACTAGAAGGCATAATATCTTCCATCATAAAGGCCATAAAAAGTCATATACATTGCTCATAAATATGAGATGGACCAAGATTGACTCTGAGGTCTAAAAGCTATGATCTCTTGCAATTTGTTTTTCACTTTTAGTAAATAAAAATACAATGTATACTAGGTGAACAGAGTATACAGCCTCTAAAATGCCATCTTTATTTTTTTCAACATTGTCTTGGCATACTTTTATAGTTCGGTTTGAACATCATCCAGTGTACAGAAACTGAAATGGATTAAGGTCTGACAAATAGGAAGCTAGAGGGGGAATAAAAGAATCGCCCTGAACAAGAAAAATAATCAAAGACACAGAGGGTGGGAAAAGGATCTGTTTTCTATCTCCAGTGGAATCAGATAAAGAGAAAAGAGTTTAACTGGCAAAAGAAAAGTTTAATTTAGACATCTTGAAGATCCTCCTGTTCCGTCAGCTGCCGAGAATATCCAACTTTTAATAGGAGCTAAATGCTTTAGCTGCAACACAGGTATGAATTCCACCATCACAAATTCGTGTCAGCAGAAAATGTGATTTTCTTTATAGCCGTAATTGTCAGATCTCTGATCCGAGCTCCCAACCTACTTCAGGCAAGCAACTTAATAGTGTCATTTCTGATTATTTTTCATTCTAATGCAGTGATTTGTTGGTCAGTTCATACCTAGAGGGTCAGAAATCCTGTGGTTCAGTCTTCCTTTCAGGGTTTCTCTCTGTCTCCTGCCATGCAAAAGCCTACAGGGACAAGAGCAGATGAAGTATCTCACATACTCTGCACCTTTCCTTTGGTCCAAACAACACCTCTGCTCCTTCCTCCAGGTCCTGGCTTGGTCTTCAGCCTCCTAGAATTTCTCCCTATCCACCTACAGTCCTCCCGTGAGCTCTCCACCCCACAGCCCATCTACAATGTCCCCTGATCCAGAAAACAGCTGAAACACTGCTGAACTTTGAACATTCACTAACTTTTCTGAGTTCATGCCTTTTTTATTTCCAGCCATTTCCTACATCTAATATTTATTCAAACTCCATCCATTCCTCAAAGCCCCAAATACTTTCCTCTGATCCCTTTAATCAGAAGGAACTATTCTGAATTCACAGTCTATCTCTCTCCCACAGCCTTTGTCACTTTCTGTGGGTGCAAACATCTATCAGGCATATGCCTGTGCAGGTAGAATCCCTGTTGACTGCTGGCATCCATATCTTTAGTACTCTATTTGTCCCAGTTGCCTCTTGGCTTTATCCCACTGGTTGTTTTACATTTTTAATACCACCTCTGCCTTCTGCCCTCGGTTATAAGTTACATCCATGCCTATCTCTCCTACTGTAAACTCCTTGAAGAAAGGCAAGTGCTTCCATTTGGTAGCTTATTCAGTGCCCTGCACACAGTAGACAATCAAAAATGTTATTAAATGAAGCTTCTGGTAAAACTAGGCAAAGGCCACAGCATTTCCAATGGTATGAGAATGAAATAGACAGGTTGTATCTTCATCGTGGGCATAGAAATACAACTGACTTGCAAGCGTAACTCTGTTCTGTCTACTCCCTAATGCCCGCTCAAAGTCTCATAATTTTTAATTTGAAAAGAGAACCAGTGGGGTATTGTGGTTTTAATTTGTGGGGAAAAAGGAAAATAAAATTATTCAAATTTCGCTTTTCTGCCACTGACAGTTAATAACATCACTGTCATCATGCAGTGCATATTTAAAAGACAGTTGAGCGATTCTATCCATCTTTTCCCGAATTTAACAATCCATTTTAATTTCTGTTCCCTCTCAGGAGGATTCTAACTCAGCAGCCACTTTGTCACTTTTGTGCTCCTCTACTGCCCTGATATAAAAGCAGAAATAATACATACAGTATAAAAATAATGTAATTCACAAGGACCAAATCTGAAGAACTTCATAAAATCTGTTGCACAGCCTGATTATACAAAGAACTGACCTTTGTTTCAGAACCATTCCATGAAAATAAAACAAATGAAAAAATGAGCCACTCCAACCTTATTGTAGATACTGAAAAACCAAATTTTTATCCGTGTAGAAGACTGAGTTCATGAAAATAGAGAACAGCAAAAAGTTTTTGAGATGTGGAGGTTGGCTGGTGGGCTTTTCTCCCCTCCTAGCTAAGAGACTGGTGCTTACACACTAGCTTCTCAGGTCATGGATTCAGCATCCTGTCTTCACAAAGTAACAAATAAATATTTGAAGTACTCATGAGATCATTGGCACACTGCTGAAACCATGAATGTTAAACTCACAAATGCCAGATGACTGCTGTTCAGGCAGTTACCAATTTAACACTTAACTTTGGGGTTATCCATGTTTAAGTGGCTGTTCTGCTACTACCACCTGCATTCAAAGCTCCTAAGAGAGCTGCAACCCCCATGTCATGCTCAGTCTCCTGGATACTTAGGGCTCAGAGGAGTTTAGGGTTTGATAAGGTTCAGAAAGCTCAGTGTCTGGAAGAGACTGGATTCTGGATTCAAGTTTGTAGCTATGATTCTCAGAATATGGGCCACAATCCTTGTGCATTGGAATCTCCTGGGTGCCTAACGAAATTGCAGATTCTTGTTAACAACACCTGACCTACTGAACTAGACTCTCTAGTGGGTCAGCTCAGGAATCAGCATTTTTAACTCACTACTCAAAAATCATTTTAATTTTTTAAAAAATACTGTATTAGAGATAACATGTAAATTTCAGATTACCTGAGATGCCTTACAATCCCAGAAAAATTAGCTTTCAGCATAAATAGTTCTACTGACAATTTCAGTCAAAAAACCAAGGCACTATTCCCAAGTAGTGCCTCAACCTGCATAAAAGCTCATGATATTTTAAATCTGCAGAAAAATATTGAATTGAGTTAGATACACTAAAATTAAATTTCCAATGATCTCAATACAATTCGCTGATGTTATTAAAGAATATTTGAATGACTCCTTTGTTTCCCAAAAGTCCCAAGCAAGAAGCCCACTCAGCTATTGTTAAACTAGAAGCCCCCAAACCAGGTGACAATTCAGTCATGATGAGGTCTGAGAAGGGGTTGGCTATCTCTGACTGACAGAACAATATTATTCAAGTAACTTTTATACAATTCACACATCTGTAGTGACCATTCCAGACTTATTTTCAGAAGCCATGCATGACAATTGCAATATAAAAATATACTCCTATCCAAAACTAAATAGAAGAAAGAGGCTACTGTTTTATTTAGAGCTGAAGGGTTCTATTTTAGAGAAGAATTGAATTTTTTTGTTTTTCAAATGGCACATTATAAACATCACTTAGAGCATTTCCTTATTCAGTTGTGTGCAACTAATAGTTTCTTCAAGTTAGTTAGGTGATTGCTAGCAATTAATTAGTAGGGTTAACATTGTTTTTATTGATCAGCCTGGCAGTAATGATTGACAACATTAATATAATTGCTTTACTTCTCAGAAAACCTTTGTGTAAGAACCTAATAGTACTGAGGAAACAGTTGTGAGATAAAGAAAAATAGATTGTATGCTTTAGAGTGGGCCAATTGTGTTAACATGCTGCCAGGGCTTTGATAACTGAATTAATGGCCAAGGCTCCCTTTCCTTAGGTAGCTAAGAGCTTATTTTTCTGTTCTTCCCCTATACCTAGCCTGACCATGAATCTTCACAGACACCAGAAGAGCCAGAAGAGAAGTGGTTCTGTGATTTTAGGTACAACCCCTACCTCACTGTTTCAATTATACTCATGATCAGCACATAAGGAAATCGTTTATAACCAAATTTGAAAACCCAAAGTTCAGTGGATAAGTTTAACATCTTTTGTGAGAAATCAGAGACCAAAAGGAAAAGGAGGACAGCCTACTCTCCTTTCTACCTCTCTAAAGTTCCAAGGAAATTGCATCTGTTCTCCTCTATCTGTCAGATGTGGAACTAATACTGGTGATGTCCCAGAACAATTCTGGGTCTGCCTACAGTGTTATTCCCAAAGATATCCCAAAGAGCTCCTAGAAAATAAAGACAAAGCCTAAGGATCAGATACATCTTGAGACTGATAGAGAATTCCAGAAGTTTCTCTCCTTCAGTACTTTATTGTAGTGGACCTATGCCTGCAAAATGACTTGTCCTTTGTTGTACCTAACCTACTCCTTCTAAATGACTAAGTTAACTCTTTAATAATTACCAAAGCTGGCAAAGTTTTTTAAAATAGCTTTTCTTCTGGTTCAAATAACGAGGGAAAAAGCACAAGTTTTGTTTGAATATTTGCTCACGATGATCTGTAACTATTCTAATGTTCAAATAAATATTTCAAGCTACTTATGACAAACATATAATTGCAGATCCCTTTCCAGTAAGGATAAGCATCACCACTTACTGAGTTCCAGATAGTTTTCAAGGTAGATTGAATATGTTATCATCAATTCTTACAACAACTTGGGAAATTGTAGCCCAGTTTAACGGATGAGGAAACTAATTGATAGGATACATTACTAGTACAAGATCACGCTGGTAATAAGAGGCAAAACTCAGATCTCACTTGTTCCAAATCCTGTGTCCTTTGTGCTACAGCAGACTTCCTCTTTGCAGAACTCCCCAGATTCCATTTAATCTTCCTGCTCAAAGGTGTCATTACTTTTACTATGATAACTGTTATGGATTTGGGATTGCTGCTGGTGGTAGTGCTATCAAACAGAAAAGTAGTAAGGTGGTGAAGATCACAGATACCATGTCAGCCTCTCTGGGTCTGAATCTTGGCTCCACCCTTTGCTGTCTGAGTGTCCTTACGTATGTAACTCAACTTAGTGCCTTTATTTCCCCCTCTTTAAAATGGAAATAATAATAGCACCACCTCAAATGGCTGTTGCAAGAATTAAATGAATGAATTCACTGCTTCTCAAACATCAGTATGCATCCGAATGGCCTGGGAATCTGGTAAACCTGTGGATCCTGACTCCAAGAGCTAGAGTGGAGCCTGAGATTTTGCATGCAGGATACTTAGGACAGTGGCTGACATGGAATGAGTTTTCAATAAATGTCATGTATGATCATTTAATGATCAGATAAGGGAAGGTCTGTTGGAGAAAATATTAATTTCACACATTCAAATAAATTTTTGAGATAATGATGATTTAAGAGATCCTGTACTGTGCAAGCCAGCCCACCATGCCAGACCTTCTACTGGGTTTCACCTTTGCATGACTGAGGAGTCAAGTACAGGTCACCTTTTTTGTTACTGGAAATGGTATAATTTTCAAAATGCAGTTGGAAGGAATGTGGCTCACAGTGATGTAGCCCCCTAAAGAGCAATTTTTTTATTGAACAAATATTTATGGAGTATGTGTCAGGTATCAAACCAGGCACTGGGAATACTTGGCCATGCCATCATTTTAAGCTTTTCCTCCATAGAAAATGTAGCATATATCCCCTAACACTAATTGGAAACTAACTAGTTGCAAAGTGGGTGTTACAGGGAATATCAGTCCTTCCCCTAAATCTGTGTTCCTTTTCACTTATCTATCATTTTCTATTTATTTCCCCACTTTCAATCTGTTTAAGTACAGCCCTCCTCTGGACAATTCCTGAGCATATTCACTGTCTTATCCACCACACACATTTTACAGTATTGAGTTCATATATAATATACAGCTTTTAGCATTGTGTACTGGAAAAAATAATTAACAATTAACTATAATTTATTTACATGTCCTACATTGTTTTCAAAATTTTCCTATACTGCCACAAAAGAAAATTTTTCTTGTTCATGTACCTTACATATTTGTGAGGAGGACTTGTAGACACAATAACCTAAATTCAATCTTTAAAACAAAGGACTATTTTATAACCGTGTTTAATTCTATGATGTAAAGGCAGAGTTAGAATCTCAGCTGAAAGCAAAATCCCAGGACATTTGGCTAGACATATGCCTTTTTTATGAAACATATCTATATTAACATAATTTGCACACTTGTACATGTCTATCTTATATCAGCTTAATCCTTATGGACATCATTCTCATATTCTCCCTTAGGAGGTAGTAGTAATGGTTTCACATGTTAGAAAACTCAACTTGCTAACAGCATTCCTAGGATTTTCCCTTTTGCTGTAAAGCTACAGATTTTTGGCATTTGTTCTGCTAAATGCTCAAAAGAATAAAACAGAAAGCAGTTGTTCTTAATTAAACCTATTTGAGTCACAGATCCCTTTGAGCATCTGATGAGTTTATGGATCCTTTCTCCAGAAAAATAACCACATGCACATACTTGGAGATTCCAGGTATAATTTCAGTAGTTTTATAGACTCCCCAAAGTACATCCATCCAATGACCTTAGGTTGAGAGTGCCTATTGTAAGAGCTCTCCAGCCTGTCTATAAACATCAGCGTATATTACAGCAGAACCCTTTCCTCTGAGCCATTTACATTGAGAAGGTGGGAAGCAGTTAGGCACCCAGGTACTTTTGAATGAAGATGGAGTCTCATGTTACCTATCAAACACAAGCCCCAAAGCTGTAATTGACATAAGAACCTAACTTATATGATCTGACATCATGGTGCTGTGACCCATGGAACAGTTTTCAAGGAAAAAACTGGGCCGGGCCAGTTTTCAAGGAAAAAAAGAGTGGGCTGGGCGCAGTGGCTCATGCCTGTAATCCCAGCACTTTGGGAGGCTGAGGTGGGCGGATCACCTGAGGTCGGGAGTTCGACACCAGCCTGACCAGCATGGAGAAACCCTGTCTCTACTAAAAATACAAAATTAGCCGGGCGTAGTGGCACATGCTTGTAATCCCAGCTACTCGGGAGGCTGAAGCAGGAGAATTGCTTGAACCTAGGAGACAGAGGTTGCGGTGAGCAGAGGTCGCGCCATTGCACTCCAGCCCGGGCAACGAGAGTGAAACTCCATCTCAAAAAAAAAAAAAAAAAAAAAAAACATAAGAATGAATAGTCGATGCTTATCAGGCTTCTTCAAGGAAAGGCTCTGGGCACATGAGGATTTATTTATGCATGCACATAGGCTTATGGAGGTGACTGCCACCTTGATGTCACTAGCACATTCCTCTTTAGAGATGGAGATGTAGGTACAGCTGTGATGGTAGATGATAGAAAAACACCTGTTTGTTATTACAGAAAGGATTCTGACTCAGAGCCAGGAAAGTCAGTTGTCTAATCCCAATTGCCATTAAATATGTGATCTTAAGCAAGTCATTTTATTTCCCTTGGCCTAAGTTTATTAATCTGTTAAAATTGTGCAATGGCATGTGACTTTCATACCTCAGAGTCTTCTCTGGGTATAAAATCAAATAACTTGTGGAAGGTATTTTGGAAAAAAACGTATCTATGAATTCTCACAAAAGCACCATACGTTATGAACATTTTCAAAACTACCATCAAAGATGTTGGAAGACCCTTTTCAAGTCTTACCATTGACTCGTTTTGCTATTACTACTCTTATCATTACTATCCCAATAGTATAGAGGCAGGAAATTTTCTTTGTTTGCTTTGATGTTCCATTTTTTTTTAAACAACAGCAACTGAATGGAACTCCTCTTACATGTATGTGGAGCCGTAAAGTCATTGCAAGGAAGTCCCTGTGTTTTTAATCTCAATAATTCACTTTCTCACTAAAGCCCTAAAAGGCTTTCCAAATAGGTTAAACTAATTTAGAGAGAGTCTGAATAAAATGTTGAATGTATAATTCATTCTGATTAACAAATAATCTTTAACCATAAAGAAAATTTCCTCTTGGATGAGAACCTTTGATTACTAAGAGTTTCAAACTTCAAATGCAAGTTTATCACTCCTTTTAGGAAAAGAAATATAGCAGAAACTTTTGCTTTTACTTCAAAGTAAAACTACACTAATGGACAAATAAGTTTTACGTTGTTCATTCTCATGTATTTTTATTGGACCTTAATGGATGTAGAAAATTCTGATTGTGTTACCTTAATCTAATGAAAGACTCTTAAAAGGTAATGACTGTCACAGACCCTGTTTCTCCAATTGGGTCTTCTCTGATAATTCATCTAGTTGGAATACTCTGTAATTATATAGCATTTAGATTCTCTTCTCAATGTACTCATTGTTTTTATGTCAATTGCCAGAATTCTTCAGGGCAGAAGAAGCTGGGCCTTTATTTCCCTCTACTGCTTCCTTGGCAATTGTTTGAAGAGTACTATGAAGACTCTTTTTTAATTCCTCTCACTTGGAGGTAAGCCTTTATAAAGGCAGTCATAATGTGGAAAGCGGAGACTTGTGCTGAGAATGACATTGTTTCATAAAAATGTCAGTGATTATTAATTCATAGAAGATTTGTGAGGCGAGTGGAAAGACCTGATATGCCTCATTTCCTTGACCATATTCATTTTTACCCTGGAATACACATTTTGCTAATTACTGTTTAAAATTGCATTTGCCTTTTACCCAGTCACAATCATATTCATTTTAATCAGTTCAAGTTTGTGGGATGTAAAAATGTTTTCCTATTCATCAAGATGTTACTAGAATAATACTGTACAGAGTCTTGGGCATTCCTGAGAAGGAAGAGTTCTGCATAACAGATTACAGGACACTATCCCAAGTACATGTACCTAAGGAGTACAAATATATAGCCCAAGAAAAATACTTATTTCCAAGCCACTTATCACTAAGAATTCAGCAATTCCAAGGAGTAATTACATTAACCTACACTGCTGTCTAAATTTGCTCAAGTAAACCTCGAGGAACACAGAGTGCTGTTTTAATACAGTACTGCATTAACCCCAAAGACTTCAACTGAAGTTATGTTTCTTTCCAGTACCAGATTTTTACAACTTACTTTCAAATGCTTGGAATGTTCTCTGAGACTCCCATGTGCATCCAAAGGTCAAGGAATTGACATTTCAATATCAGCAACATGACTTTGGAAGCTAGCAGAAAGATAAACACAGTGAGTCACTTGTTTAATCTTGACAAGTAATATGGCTCATGCAATCTGAGGCATCCCAAGTGAAAACAACAGATGTTAGTATCTGCTTTGGGTAAGAGACCCTGGCAGGTCATAGCCAGTATAAAGAATGAGCATCTTAAACTCCCTAAAAGGGAGCTATCAGGCTAAAGGATCTAAATCCAGAAATTATAGCCACCCTCAGAATTCATATCACAAACTCTGAAAATGAACAAAATTAAATGCCAGTCTTTGGAGACATTTTGTGAACGACAGATATTTTTGTGCCATTAAGTGCTGCAATTGAGTTTTAAGTAGATTTGGACCAAGAATGGAGCTGAAGAATTTTTAATGAAGGCTTTAACAGTGTTTACGTTTATAATAATGAAATTTTTTTTCCCAACCCTTCCTGAAATGTTCATTTAATACATACATCCACTCAAATACATCTTTCTAAAACAAGATTTCTGAAATAAATTCTGATGAATTTTAAGCTTTCTTACAGCAAAGAGTTTGACCTGTTTATCTGGTTTGATGGCTTACCCAGAGTAGGTGCTCAATTCCTATTTGTTGAATAAATTATGCTTTCAATGTCATTTTCTTTAAAAAAAAAAAAAAAAGAGCCCCCAACCCCATGCCTATCCTATTCATATCAAAACTCTCCTTCAGTCCTGTTTTCCACCACTCTCCCGCACTGTTCTGGGACTTATTTCCCTATGGCATTCTTGCTACAAGGATTGCACTCCCTCTGTCCCTCTGTCTTCTCTGTCCTATTCACCATCAAGTTCCAATTCAAGTCCCACCTTGTCAATAAATTCTTTTTCTACTGCTTGGCCCACAAAGCTGTTTGTATGGTTGTTTCACCCTCAGAGTCCAGCAGTTCTCATGTAGCTCTTCTCTAGTTGTGAAACCTGTGTTCAGTTTGTGATACAATCAGAGGGCGGCTCCTTCAGAGAGAGTAAGGATCATGTCTCTGCTCCTATTCCCTGCAGATTCCAGTCTAAAGAATGAATACAGGGGCTGGGCCAGGCATGGTGGCTCATGCCTGTAATCCCAGCACTTTGGAAAGCCGCAGCGGGTGGATCACCTAAGGTCAAGAGTTTGAGACCAGCCTGGCCAACATGGCAAAACCTTGTCTCTAGTAAAAACTACAAAAATTAGCCAGGAGTGGTGGCATGTGCCTGTAGTCCCCAGCTACTTGGGAGGCTGAGACAGAAGGATTGCTTGAACCTTCTGTTCAAGCGATGGAGGTTGCAGTGAGCTGAGATCGCGCCACTGCACTCCAACCTGGGTGAGAGAGTGAGGCCCCATCTCAAAATAAATAAAAAAAATATATATATATAAAATAATGAATATAGGATATGATGGTCTCCTAAAGCCTCAGCTAAGAGATTCTCATGGAGTCAGAACAGCCCAGTTAACCTGAGGATTTAGTTCACTGCTGTTAATAAATATGGCTCAGTTTTAAGCTCAGATCATGAGAGCTATGCCAGACCCTTTCACAGTGGGCTAGGTATGTGATTTCCTTGTAGAATTATTGCAAAATTTCAATAATACAGTTGGCCCTCCCTATCCATGGGTTCTATATCTGTGGATTTAACCAACGGCAGATCAAACATATTCAGAAAACAGAATGGATGGTTGCATCTGTACTGAGCATGTATAGACTTTTTAAACTTGTCATTATTCCCTAAACAATACAATAGAACAACTGTTTAGTATTTACATTGTATTAGGTTTTATAAGTAAGCTACAGATGATTTAAAGTATATAGGAGAATGTGCGTAGTTACATGCAAATGTTACACTATTTCATATAAGCACTTGAGCATTTGTGGATTTTGTATGGAAGGGGTGGTCCTGGAATCAATTCCCTACAGATACCAAGGAATGACTGTTTATGACCCCACACCCACAAAATTCAGTTTTTTGAGTAATACAAGTTCTGCATTGATATCGGTCTCTCCCTTTCATCTTAAATCAGATGTGTCAATCTTTGTATTGCGAGAGTGAGTTCAGACTGATGTGTAAATATATAATTTATAATTACTGGGAACTCTGTGCAATTCTTTTTAGAGAATGAGTTTTGCATTGTTGAGATCCCCACATTTTATTTCAAATTTTCCTCTGGACTACCTGTGACCACAATATCGTAGCATGAAGAAGAAAGAATTACCTTATTCCTACTTCTATTTTCCCACAGACTCACTAAACCAAAATTTACACAGAGTTTAAAAGTGAGCCAGTTTCCCTAAAACTCAGAAGTTTCTGATAACAACGTCTGTGAAAGACAGTCAACTAAGGAAAATAGATCACCATCCTCACAGCAGGGTAAGGGTTGATAATTTATAAACACTGGATCAAAAGTGAGCTGAGATCACACCACTGCACTCCAGCCTGGGTGACAGAGCAAGACTCCATCTCTTAAAAAAAAAAACAAAAAACAAACAAACAACAACAACAAAAAAAACGCAAAGGAGAACCAGAAAGAAAGAGTGAGAGAGAAAAGGAAAGGGAATAAAAGTCAAGAATCATGTATGATCTGAAATAGAAACTAGCTCTAACGTGACACTTATATAGAAGTCTACATGAAAGCTTCACATCTCTTCAGCTAATACAGAATGGGATCCAGTCTTCACTACAAACCTGTTACAAAACTCAAACTTGCCCAAAATGTTTCAAATACTTATTCATTCAAGATATATTTTTTTGAGCTACTACTATGTGTCCGGCACTCTTTAAAATGTCCATATATCAGTGAACAAGACAAAGTCTCTATTCTCAGGATATTTGTGTTTTCATAAATGGCCAGGATCTAATTTATCAGACAAAATAGTAGTATGCATTAATTGAACAACTACTGAGTTCCAGGCACTTTGTATGTCATATCTGATTTAATCTTCAAAATAACTCTAAGAGGTAGAAATAGTATTGTCCCTTTTTATAGTTGAAGACACTGAAGTTAAGAGAGAGCTAAATAACTTCCATAGGGTCACACATCGAACAAGAATTTGAGCTTGGATTTGCACCCACATTTCCCTGACTGCTAAGCAGGACAGTCCAAACAGGCTTTAAATACTAGAGCACCAACAAAGTGGTCAAAAATATATTCCACCTCATGAATGTTCTGTGTTGTAGTAAACACTTGAAATTGGGAAAGATTTGATTCTTGAAATATTAAGTTAATTTTACATTATGAGATTTATTTTGTATATAGCTATTAGGATAGCAAATTGCAGGATAATTTTTTTTCATATTAAACCCTTTACCTGTTAAACTTAATGTACCTTATGCAGCCTCCTGCAGTATCCTCAATTGTCTGTAAGAATGACATTTTGCTTGCCTACAAAATATAATTTTAAAACATTTCCAAAAATCTTCAAATGAAAAAGCATTTTACTGACTGACAAAGACAGCTCAGTATTTTCTTTCCTTTGAGCTCTCTGGCTTCTCTTTGGTTTTGTTCTCACCTTCCAGCTTTCCACAGCATCTGAACCTTGGTCCAGGGAACCCACTGGCTCTGGCAAGTGAGACTCTCAGCAGTGCTAGGGTTCACCACCAAACTGGCAGCTGTGGACGTCGTCATTTCAGAAGCTTCCAGAAATGAGTGTGGTTCTGCAGAATGCTAGAATTCTTTTACATGAACAAGGGCTTTGCTGCCTCAGAAGTGTTAATGAGAATTTCACAAGGGGGTGAGGGAGGCCAAACCACAGCTCTTTTTAACTCTCAGCTCCTGGGACCTATTTAAAGTTCCTAGAAACCCTGTGGGAAAATGCAAGACAGAGCAAGCCAGACAATAAGACCTGGTGTAGACCACGGCAATACAGAAAGTTGTACTCAGCATAAAGAAAACAATACACGTTGTCTCTGCCCTTGAGGACTTTATATTCTAAAGTGGGAAGGGAAATCATTTTGAAATACCCAAGTCAGTCAATAAACCATACACCTAATTAGAGCTATGCAACTACAGGAGAAATCTACAATAACTGTGGCATTCTTCCTCCGCAAAGGGCATTTTCTTTCCAGAAGCAGTACAACATGATGGTTGGAAAACAGCCTCTGGAAGCAGACTGCCTAGGTTAAAATTCTGACCCTGAAACTTTCCAGTCATATGACCTCAGCTGGGTCATATGAACTCTTGTGTCAGGTTGTCTTACGTGCAAGAAGAGAAAAATAACAGTATTTCCCTCATAGCCTGTTGTGAGCATTAAATGAGTTAACATATATAAAGTACTTGTAATAAGTATTAAGTCAGTTAATAAATATAAAGTGCTTGTAACCAAGTTTGACTAACGGCAAGTGCTATAGAAAGTGCTGCTTCTGTCTGGTAGTATATTGTTTGTCTTTAAGACAGTTCTGAAGATTGAGTGAGTCGTTTCCCTAGTCTAGTAGCAACGATAATAATTTTTCACCAACCTTATGAAGTAGTAACAATTTTAAACCTCATTTGAATATGAAGAAAATAAAACTTAGCAAGGTTTAAATAATTTCTCTAAGATTTAATTGCAGATCTGTTCGACTCTTCTGGAATTCATTTTCTATATGATCTCTTGCTTTGTCCCTTCAACCATGAAAGAAGATTAGGAAGAATGTTCTAGCATTTGAAATGGGACCCGAACTAAAAGAAAGTTGTTAAGTGAGCAGGGAAAGAAGTTAAGCAGATCTCTAATTTCAAAATCAAAGGCAATTGAAGTACAGGTCTTAGCAGCAGAATTTTGTTGCCTCTAAAATTTCTTCAAGCATCTGAAGAACCACACATTGGAAGTTCACTCAGAATATGTTTTCCTTTCCTAAAGTCCCCTTCACTGATATTTATGACAAGAGAAGGCAAGATGAATTTGAAAGGCAGAGGTTCTGAGGCCAGAGTTACTAGGATCTGATGTGTTTATCACAAAAATCTAAAAGCTGAAGGAGTTATCAGAAATCAGTTGAGATAGGTAAGAGGGAGAAAAGAGATCTATGTCCTGGGACAGACACCTTGAGCTGCCTAAAAGCAGCAGACAGCTCTTAAAATTGGTGCCTGCATCCTTCATCCTCAGTGCAATCTTGTCTTAAAATATCTAGATTGTGAAAAGAGCTAGTGCTGCTCCAAGAAGCATCAAGAAAATGCTGAAGTTTTATTCAGTCCTTGGGGGCAGACTGAAAAACTAATAAGTTTATGAAAATTGCCTATGTATCATGCTGTGAAAACTTCTACAAGGATGCACAGATGGGCTTCAATTTGGACAACTTTGTTGCTGCATATTAAGGGCCTTTGATTTTAATATCCAATAATGAATAAAACTACTGGTGGGTGTCCTCCTGAGTCATAATGTAATCAGAGGAGAATGGCTGAGTCTGCCTCTCATTTCTTTTCACTGTTGAATATTTGCTCTCAGCCAGATGTACCTAAGCTGAGAACACAACAAAGAAACATTGTATATGTGGTAAAGGAGACCAAAGGGATTTTGTCAGAAGGAAAGCAAGAACTAATTAGAGTCAAATAAAAGTGTGGCTTCGAAGTTATGGAAATTACTGGACTTTCTAGAAGCAATCAACCCTAGTATACACAGTCTTCCAAATAAGCCAAAACTTTTCTGCAATAAAATGTAGTTTATTGAGAACTGTCATCTTTGTTCCCTACCTAATGGCCCAGCCCCACCCTGATCTCAGATCACTGTAAAGGCAGAACTTACCACTAGGTTTTAGCAACACCTAACTTCCCAGGTGCCTGAGTGTTAAATACTGATTACCTATGCTGACTAATGAATTAAAGCTTCTCTTCGTCTGAAGACATTGTTACCTAACTGGTGAGTAGGATTTATATGTGCCTTGTTGCCTGTATCTTTCTCACTTAGTAAACTTCATTGTCTTAGCTGAGTTAGTTTGAAGTCAAATTTAGGTTACCTTATGTTCCTTCTTGTCCCCAAGTAAAACCATTGTGCGGCCACAATTTTTCACCTTTTCCTCTACCCACATTCTTTTCAATGTGATTTTGCAGCTCCTCCCTTCAATTAGTAGAGTCTATTTCTTTACCCTATGACTTGATGTGACTACCCTTTTGACCTCTTTTTGATATGTGGAAGAAGTAAATGTGTAGAATGCCAGGCTAGTCCTGGCCATGGACACTTTGGCTTTCTACCTTAATCATGAGAACAAGAACAGACTATCATGCTGGAAGATGAGAGACTACATGGAGCAGAGCTGAGTATGCTCAGTTGTCCCATTCAAGGTCTCAGAGAAAGTCTGTCCCATATCAGCAAAGCTACCTGACTGATCTAAAGTTGGCATGCTAGAGTGCCACTGACTAGGAGAACCACTAGGCATCCCAATAACTCTTGGGGAAAAAATGATTACTGTTTTAAGCAACTAGATTTGGGGATGATTTGTAACATGGTGCTATCTAATAAATACAACCACCATGTTTTCTACCCAGTTCTCAGTTCTGACATGCATTCTGACATAGCCCCTACCTAAATGTAAGCTGTAATCGTCAGCTCCTGGCATGGTCTGACATTCAGTGCTTCTCATAACATAATTACTAAACAAATAATGTAATTGAATTCATATTAGTGAGCATTTGGATTGCTTTCTAATTTGAAATCAGATTTAAGTTTATTTTTCTTTTTCTTTCTGAGTTGTGTCTCTTTTGTATTCTAAATTTGATGTCTTCTCTATTTCTTTTTCACTTTCATTTAGACAGAAATGAACAATAAATTTGAGATATTAATAAACTTTATACATTCCTTTGGTAGAAGAATTTGGACAGTAGAAGGAACCATACAAAGAGAAAGGCAAATAATCCCAAAGCAAGTGAGAATGGAAAGTCTGCCTTGATCTTACAAATATAATGAAATTCTAAATCAAATCACAAAAATATTCTTAGAGGTATTATTGCATAATTTTTATATTTTTATGTGATTTCCAGTAGATGTTACCTGTCCTACATTTTATACATTGTCATATTTTTTAAAATTTTTCTGGAAACTTAATTCAGAAGTCTAGGCACTAAAGGTAACTGAATCTTTTTGATTTGGTGATTTAGTTCTTCTGCTTAGTAGAATTCGGAATATCACTGAATTTTCTTCTGTCTTCTAGCACTTTGAGATTTTCAGCCAAAGGAACTGCTTTTTAAAATAATTGGCAGCAGCATTGATTTACAAAGGTGGATAGACATTGCTCGTTGGGGAATAACGTTTTCAGGAGCAAGCATTCTACAAAGGTGAGGGACTTAGGGCAGATAAGCACTAAATTTTTTCTTTTCACATAATTCTCTTTATGGATAAAACTCATCAAATTTTATCAATGTTAGCTTTATGCAGCAAAGCAATGAGTGTTTTTAGATTACTATTTGCCCTTCTGTACATCTGAAGCAATAAGCACAATGTTGACATCAGAAAGCTGTTATATTCTATGGAGATGGTAGAGATGCTGTTTACTTGACACAATTGAGGACTCTGCTTGTTTCCCCTTTCTATGGAGACAGGTGAATTTATCGTCATAACCAGCAGTTCGGGAAGGGCTGTATAAAAAGGAAAGAGCCTATGTTCTCCTAATTAGCACATTAGATAGCAGTCATTTAATGCTTGGCACTTGATTGTGTTCCTTGTCTCCTGCAGTAAGCGAACATTTCCCATCATGGTCTGGCTGTTGATGCAAAGATGCTGTGAAAGCCTTGTTCTTGTCTCCTTCTTTCTCTACCTCATTAACTGGTTCATTTAAATTGTGGCTTCTTCATAAAGTCTAACATTTCAATATCAAATGTTCCATTATTAAATTAGGCATTAAAAAATAGGAAAGGGAGGGTTGATCATCACATAATATGTCTCATTTATTTCAATACTTACAGTGATTCCATTTCATTATTTGGTGGTATGCTGGGGCCCATGTACCCCTGCATCCTTACCATCTATTGAAACAACTATACTTTTTAATTCATTTGTGTATTCAACACACACTTACTGAGCTCTTTCAATGTTCAAGGCCCTGAAGAGAGACTTTGATGGAAAGAAAGAGAAGTTTTGATCCCTCCTTAAAAAGAGCCTGTATCTCCTTCCCTAGGAGAGATCAACTTTAAGAAAATCTTAATAAAGAAAGGTAACACACTAACGTAAAGGATAAAAGACTTGAATAAATACCTGGAAGATTAGGAGTAGGCACAGGAAAGGAAAAGTGTATTAGATTCACCATTGCTCGGCTTCAACAACTTGTTAAGTTCTGTATTTGTGTTTTGTGTAGTTTTCTCTAGATTTATTATATCTGCAATTAAAATATCAATAAAGTAGAAGTATATTGATAATGCTGCAAAGGGAGAGACATGGAAGACAGTTACCAAAAATGAATGGATGTTCTTAGAAAACTAAGGAGAGTTAATTTTTAGAATGACAGTTAAACTGGTATCTCATTTCAGTATAAATTAGACTCATACGAAGAGTAGAAGATGTTCAAGTATGATTTTATTCTTTTCCCCAGAGAATTAAAATCTGACCTCTGTCTAGTGTCATTAATTAGCTTTCTCTCATCTTCCTCTCTAAATGTAGTCTATCTACACTTTTTTACATCAATCAAGTTAACAGATATGAAATGTTTGATCAATTTAAATATGCTAGTTTGTTTTACATGGGAATAAGTACATTCCTATTCTGTGTAATTGATTTTTGTTCATCTAAATCCAGGTCTTCACAATATCCATAAAACGTTTATCGGCATAATTCTAATCTATCAAGATTATTTTTTAAAATCTTGATTCTGTGTCAGTTATTCACTCTTTCTATAAAGGTATTTTTATCACCACTTATTAAATCATTCAATAAATATTAACTGATTCCTTACTATGTGTTAGATGGATATAGCAATAAATGAGACAAACTTTCCTGGCTTCATGAAACTTAATTTATAGGGGAGAAGACAGATAATAAAAAGTAGATAGAGAAGTAGATAGTATGTCAAATGGTGATAAGAACTATGTGGACAAATAAAGTAGGATATAAGGGATAGGAAGCATAGAGACCTCTAGGCTCTGAGACCAGTCTCAGATTTTGGAAGGCAGGGCGATGAGGTCAGTAGGAGTAGCAGAGTGACAGTGAGAGGTAGGAAATTAATATGGAGATATAGAGAGGAACCATGCCCTGTGGAGCCTTTTGGACCTGGAAAGACTTTGGCTTGGCTCTGTAAATGGTGGGAAGTCATTAGAAAATTTGAGTCAAATGGTGACATAACAGCCTACATTTTAAAAGATCACTCTGGTTGCTGTGTTGAGAATAGATTGAAGAGGTACAAGAGTGGAAGTAATCAGATCTGTTGACTATTTCAGCAATCCAGGCCAAAGCTGGTATTAGCTTTGACCAGGTGGTAGCAGTGGAAGTGGTGAGAGAAGTGGTCAGATTCTGAGTATATTTTGAAGGTAGAATCATATAACTTGCTAACTGATTGAACATGAGATATGAGAGAAAGAGAATTCTAAGTTGACTCCATGGTTTGAAGCCTGGGCAACCAGAAGGATGGAGTTAGTGTTTACTGAGATGGGCAAGGCTGCAGGAAGGAAACTTCAGGATGGGAATCAGCAGTTGGGTAATGAACATGCTATATTTGAGATGTCTAACAGACATACACGTGAGGATATTGAGTAGACAGTGGAATAAATGAGTCAAAGGGGAGTTACGAGACGTTCAGGGTAGAAATAGAAATTGGAAAGTCATAAGCATATTGGCGGTTTTAAAACCAAGACACTGGAAAGAAGCACACAGGAACAAGTGTAGATAAAAAAGAGATGCTATCCCAGTTTAAAGCCCTGGAGAACATAAATGTTCAAAGATCCACGAGCTGAAAAAGAATCAATCAAAAAGACTAAAAAGGAGTAGCCAGTATAGTTGGAGGATATGAGTCTCGCTCTCCTATACTTGAGCAGAGCAACTTCTTATACAAGTTGTTTTAATAAAATATTTAATTAGATGTACTTAAAATATAAAGAATAAACAATGAAAATTCATATAACTCTTTGTGCTTTATTGAATCTTTACTTTGTTTTATACATACAACATTGCAGCTAAAGTAAGAACCTCTGTATACCCTTCTAATTCCATTTCTCTCCATCCCCCTTTCTCTCAGAAGTCATCACTCTTTTAAGTTTATGTTTATTATTCTCAAAGCATGTTTTTCATTTTTTCAAATTTAAATATGTGTAAATACTTAATTTTTGTACTATATACGTATGTAAACATTATATATATATATATATGTATATTATAGAAAAAGTCTCACTCTGTTGCCAGGCTGGAGTGCAGTGGCACAGTCTCGGCTCACTGCAACCTCTGACTCCCAGCTTCAAGCAATTCTCCTGCCTCAGCTTCCCATGTAGCTGGGACTATAGGCACACACCACCACGCCCACCTAATTTTTGTATTTTCAGTAGAGACAGGGTTTCACCATGTTGGCCAGGATGGTCTGAATCTCTTGAGCTCGTGATCTGCCTGCCTCAGCCTTCCAAAGTGCTGGGATTACAGGCATGAGCCACCGTGCCTGGCCAGTATTATTTTTAATGTGTTATTTTCCAGGTTTTTAAACTTTATGCACAAGCCGTATATTGCCTTTCATACTTTTGGGGTTTTATTTGCCTAGTAGTATATTTTTGATATAATGTGATGTCATTTTAGATAGCTTTTGTAATGCTGCACCACATTCCGTTACACAAATGTACCACAGAACAGTTTTCTGAACTTTTTATGCTGGACAGTGTGACTGTCTCCAAGTTTTACTGCTTCCAACAATGATGCTGCAAACATTCATGTACTGTCTTTATGTACCAATGTGTGTAGCTTTCTCTAGCATGCAATCCAGAAGTGGAATTGCTGGTCTTAGGACACATGCATCTTTCATCTTATTAAATATCCCTAAATTGCTTTAAAATATAGTTGTGCCAATTTACACTGCTACCAGCAGTGTTGGATAATTCTTTTTGCTGGACTCGCAATTTTTAAATCTGATGGGACAAAAATTTTGGTCCCTTTTAAATCTAATGGTACCAAAGTGAGCTCTCATTGTTGTTTTAATATTTATTTTCCTGATTACGCATGAAGTTAATTCAACTTCTCCAACATCTGTTGGCATTTTGGGTTTCTTCTTCTGTGGAGAACCTGATCATATCTTCACCCATTTTGTAATTTTTGTTTGCTAATGTTTTGCAAATAGGAAAACTCACATTAAATCTTTCTTTTTTCTTGAAAAGGAAAATCTGTCAGTAGTCAGCAACATTTTCACCAGGCAAGAGTTGACAGAAACTCTCGAGCTAGAACATACAATTTTCAGTTTGTCACAGTCCTGGCCACTGTTTATTGCATGACAACTAGCCAGATAACTTTTTTATTTATCTACCTGATCCCTAAACGAATTTAAATGGAGAATCCTTTTCTTAGCACCACCTGAACCCAGAATTCATTTGGGTTTCTCTCGAGAGTATTGCTTAACAAAGGTTAAACATTTGCTTAAATTGTTTAAATGGCACACGTGGGGATGTTATCCTAGAAAAAAATAAAATAAACCCAACATTAAAAACTTAGTTTATTTTATGGACATATCTCTGATTTAGGTAATTACGAGGCATGAAAATCCAAATTACTTAACATAAGGGGGTGATTATTCTACCTTTTGCCACTAACTACTTTTGCGAATAGACTTTAAAATTTACCAAAATTCACTATGGAATTTCCTTTACAAAGCAAGCTTTCCTAATGCACTTAAAAGATGTACTATTATTCAGCCAACATATATTTAACAACCTGCTGTTACAACCCACTTTCTAAAAACATCTACTGCATAAAGGAAGTTACATGAATACTTTGTACAACATTTTCAGCTGATTAAAAAAATTAGTATGTTTATTAGTACCTGCCTCACTGGAAAATTAGAGTGATGGGAACCCTGGCAGAGTAATTGAAAACCTAGAAACAAGACGGAGAGGGAAAGTGTGAGAGGTTTTGAGTGAAGATATTCTGGGGGCATTTCTTCACTGATGAGGATCTGGGATGCAAGGCTGATCCAAAGGAAGTGAATTATTTCCCCAGGGTACTATGTCTGCTCTTTTGGTAGCTGCTACCACATAAATATTAATGTCTGTTTCAGATAGCGTAGCCTCAACAGCTATGCTCACTTCAGGCATGGATAATGCAGAAAAACAAGAATATAATACATTGTTAATTTCCTAATGTTCTTTAAACAAATAAACTTTAAAATGAAACTACCTAAACTGATTGATTCCTACTTTGATTGATGTTATATCATTATTACACAAAGTATGAAAACAAATTAACCTCCTAAGTTCAAATTAAACACTCTTGTTACTAATGTTTTTATCCCTTCCACAAATATTTATTGAGCACCTACTATGTGCCAGGAACTATAAGTAAGTCCCTCAAAAATCTCTGCTTTATAGACTGTACTATGCTCAATCTAGCCCATGCTTTATATAGCTCCCCTCATCAAAGTGTACCCAGACCTATTTTTAGCTTATCACTTTTGTAGCTCATCCCCATTCCTCTTGGAGGCTTAATGTTCTGTATTTTGTGCTCTATCATCACGTGGCCAGTTCCAAGAAGTGGCAGAATTAGCAGGCGGGAAAAGGGTGGTGAGATGCCACTCACCACCTAAAAGTGATGCCATTTCACAAAGATACACAAATAAAGGTAGTATGCTGACATTGTACTTGCTAATAATATGATGAAAAGACATTAGAGGAAGCAGTGTGCAAAAAGAGATCAGCATATTTGATTAAAATGAGAATGACAGTCCCATGGAGCAGGAAATGAATTTGGTCAAAAGGTGGTAACTTTTTCTTTGCTAGATCATGTCTAATCCAGCCTGTGTCTGACCTAGAGACCCAGATCTAGGCAACTACACTTATTGATCAAAAGGAGAACCCTTATTAAATGTACCTGCACTTACAAAGTTTCAGGTATTGGATGGTCGGGTTCTAAGCATTCCATCTACCTTTGAGAAATGTGATTTTAGACATTTTCTCATTTGTACACATATCATAGATTTATCTAGAAACCCTATAGCATTCCTCGACATTTTAACAACCTATTATTTGTATCTCTACAGCAAAGTTTTTTGTTCACTTTTCAAAATAAATTTCTCTACTGAGTCATCTAACTCTGTTTAACGTTTAAACAACTCAGAAGATTTTCTTTTTGTTGGAAGACAAATATTTTTATGCACAACTATTTTGTACTGAGCATTATATTACAGTGCATAGAATATTTGGTATTAATATTACAACTCTGAAGCTTTGTTAATGCCTGATTCACCAAAGTAAGGTTGTATAAAATATAAAAATGTCAAAACTGGCAAAAGAAATCAAGGCCTGTTTGAAGTTTCCAGAATCTTCCAACATTCTGGAATTGAGAAATATTTACCATTATGTCTCAAATAAACAATAGACTAGTGTTAGTTCCCACAAGACAGACAAACTTCTTTATATCCTATTAGTCCCCTAGATTATGGGATTTCATACCCTGGGTTGAGAGATTTCACTCTGATGATTTTACACAAACTCTGCCTCTCCTCCAGAACCTGGATGTGGTCTATTCAAATGCCAGTAACCCCACAGAACCTGTCACAATACTCCCCTTAGAACCTGAGATACTGCTTCTTGGGTCTAGCTTCCTACACCAGACTTTTTCTTTTCTTGGGGTAGATTCCTCTACAGACAGGGTCTCCCCTCCCTACTCCCATCAACCCCACCATTTTCCTTCAGCAGAAGATTCCTCAGCTTCAATGTACTTTAGTCAATGTAAATAGCTACTGGTGAGGGGGGCCCAATGGTTTCACATACCCAGTCTTTACTCGAGTCCTGCAGGAATATGCCATTGTGACAAGGACATTACCTTTCTTGGTTATAGAGTGAAGTTCTATATTTTGATTGTTTGTATCAGATTGGAGATTTTCCAACATCTTTAACTTTATTTGTCTTGACACTGGATTGTTTATTAATTCTTTATTCCAATATGTATCATTTTATGATTCTGATAGGGTTGTGATGGCCATGTCAAGTAGAATTAACCACCACTCCATGGCAGATGGTTGTAGAGAACATAGAAATGACAGAAAGTTAAAAAAAAATCCCAAACCTCTTGCTACCTCTTCAAAAAATATTAGTTATGCACAAGTTAGAAGCTTTCGTTTGAATATGGATTATTTCCTCATCTGTGCCTCTATAATCCCTTTCACTCTTAAGATTTTCCTCTGTGGTCTGAAACCAAAATCACTTTGGTCTGCAACAATAAGTTAGTCTTGCTGCTTTTCCAATTTATAAAATGACATTTATCTTCTAGATGGCTCCCCTTGAACAGTAGTTTCCAGACTTTTCAGCTTACATCCCTATTTTTGGTTTGATGTAGTCTCAAAGCTTTACAAAAAGTGCTGAATGCCACATAAATATTTAAAGAAAATAAAAAGAACTTTTAAGAATTTGAGGTATAATTGTTTTTGTGTAGCTAAAAAAGAAAACAAGGTTAAAGATCACTGGCAAAGTATACAGAAAAGCACAAGAGTTGAATGCAGACACCTCCCAAATTTAGGATGTCACTGTCTGGATGTAGAATCTCCCAAAATGAACTGGGTTATGGCTAACATTATCTTCACTTTGGAAACACAAAGCCTGCAGGCTTACACTGATATCTTCCATTAAATAAGGAGTGGTCATTCTTTTGTTATATTATTCATCAGTATCGTGCTCTTAATAACACTCACATTTCAGTAATGAAAAAGAAACTCAGCTATGATTTTTTTAAAAAATGTCTCTGCCTTCTGTTACATTTTCTGTGTTCTTCAAAAAATTTGGTATTTTTCAAAATAAAGAGGAGTATCGGTTGTAGCATCCTCATTAGGGAGATATATCTGTTTACACTAAGTTTTTTTCAACAAATATAGGAAGTATATTAAAAATGCAAAATATGATCTCAGTATTTGCCTCTCATAGAAACTGCTAAATATCATCATCCATAATGCACAAGGTTTAGTAACTTTTCTCATATTTCCATTTTCTCATTACTTTCTTTCTCAAACTCAGGTAATTAGTTTGGCAAACTGAAATCTATCAAAGGTTTCAGGAGATTATTTCTTGGCGTTTGAGCATTGGTTTAATCAACATTAAGTAAACTACAGAAAGGGAAAAAGAAGGGGTTGGTTAACATGAATATAAACAACCATATATGTAAGTTCAAAGCCCCTCCTTTTTCCTTAATCTTTATCAAGCCTTAGATAGTTACTACATTTCTTATTCCACGTAACTTCATTTATTGGTTTGAATCACTTTTGTTTTATTTTTAATTATAGAATAATTCTTGAATTTTTTGAACATTTGGGAAATATTAATATAAGAACTTAAAGAAAAATATTAACATCTTATGATTCTCTCACTTCCCAGAGATAAATAGATGTTGGTTTAACTCTTTATTTCACTCCCTCTCTCTCTTTCTCTTTCTCTCTGTTGGATTTTGTTTTGCTTTATTTTGTTTTCAAAACAAAATTTGGGCTCTTTAATAATATATTACCACAAAATTACCTTGTAATGTATTAATAAAAAGTTGATTTTTGTGTGTGTTATCCGGCACATTGTTCTTCCTTCTGAATTTTAAAATTTGACTTTGCTGAGGGGAATTTCATTTTCTCTCATCTGAAATTACAGACATATCTTCTGTGCCTGGGTTAAGCGTGAAATTAAGGTAATTAAAGATGAGCAATGCTAAAAGTTCCCTAAGCAAAATCAAAGTAAAAAAAAAAATTAGGCTGTCGTGACTGAAGCAGCATTACTCATAAATCCTCTGGGATTTGTTCTTTTGTGTTTGTTTTATTATTTTCCCCTGTTTTCCTTTTCAGTGCAGGATTAGATCAGAACTTGAGACCAGAAACTGGTCAGAAAGAATTCTAAATGGGAGAATTACTGCAATGCAAATTTCTTCATTCCTGTAAATATTTGCTTGTTTATCTAACAGATATTTATTGCACACCATGGTGTGCCTTTTGATAATACTAAAATGACAGTGCATCATGTATAGGCAGGTAGTTGCTAATTTATAAATTCCTAACTTACTATCAATCCCCTCAGCCAAAAACCACCAGGAACACACATGTAGTAGAACAAGTTGGGTTTATTATTTTTTGCAGTGAGGGAGAACACACAACACGGGAACCTGTGGGGTGTCTCAGAGAGAAGGTATTAGAAAGACGGTTTCACAGGATTTGAGCTTGGGCTGGGTGATTTGGGAAAGGGCCTAAGAAAGTAGAATTTCTTATTTCTAGATTGTATGAAATCGACTAGATTTCATACAATCTAGTAGAATTTCTAGATTGTATGTTCTTAGAAAAGAAGGGCAATTCTATGTTTGAGTATTTTGTGAGTGGAACAATAACTATGTTTTTGTCTGTGTTCCGGCAGAAGAGTAAAGCGGCTTTGCTCTGTTCCATTTTATCATTGTCTCAGTGTAAACTTGTCTGAGGTTAGAAATTGTTTATGTACAAGGAAAACAAAATGGCCTGGCTCTGAATGTCAGGCCAGTTAATAATAACACTGAGGATGACCTATGAATATTAGAACAGTTTCAGATGTCAGGAGCTGCGTGTGTGTGTGTGCGTGTATACACGCTACTCCCATCAGTGTCTTTGCTCCCTACGGGGCTTGGGCCCCGCCCCCAGAGCTGGTCTCCTTCACCTTGCTTTGCTTAGGGCTGCTACTTTCCATCCCTGCCTCTGCTGGGCCTGCCTTGACAGGGGCTCTTTTCCTCCACTGTTGCCTGTACTCAAAAGGCAGCAAAACCAAGCCCCCTTCACTGTGTCTGGATCAGGTGGGGAGAGAGGTATACTATCGGCATTTGAGTCTGGAAGTCCCCTGCTCCTCCCCCTCCCTCATCTTCCATAGTTTATCAATTTCCAGTCATCATTCATTCTACCCGCTTGTTTCCATTCACTTCTCTCCATTTCTACTGCCCATACCTCAGGCCACACTGTCCACTTTCCCTGGCAGTATTAGCCACCTGGTCTCCTTGCTGTCACCCCTGGCCCCTACAACCCCTCCTCTACACTGCTTCCAGAAGGATCTTTCACAAATACAAATCTCAGAGTATCTCTGACCACTGTTAATTCTTCATGGTGTTTATGATAAAGACCAATCTCATTGTAAATCTTGCCATGATCGGCCCTGCACCTATCTTCCCAGCCCTTAGCTTTCTTTCATTTTATTCTCAACATTCCAGCTACAGGGAGAATGCAATCTATATGCATATTTTCTCTCATGTCTTCCTTCTACTTGGAACCCATCCATCTCCCTTCTTCCCTCCAAGCTTCAGTCTACATCAGTCCCTTAAAACCTCAGCCTAATCCTACCTTATATAAAAAGCTCCAGCTTGAGAAAACTCCCATAGCACATCATATATAGCACATTGTATTTCCTCTTTATAACACTTACCTCCATTTATTGCAGTCAATGTCTTGTGTTTCCAAAAGACTTGTTCCATGAGGAGACGGGGCTTATCTCTGTGGTTCACAGCTATGCCCCAGTGCCTGGCATGTAGTGGATGCTCATCAAAATATTTACTGAGTATATGAACGTGTTAATTAATTCAATTTTACATATGAATAAAGTGTCACAATAAATACTATTAGCTTTTATGTCACTGTTAGTACTACAGATTATTTTAAATTTGATAAATCAGATCAGATAGTGTTCTCTGGGAAGGTGGAACCTGAATTCTGGACCAAAAACTCATACTTCTCTGTAACACACTCCACTTATAACAGGTGGGCTGTCCATGATTTCTGATGCACTCTTGTAATAAATGCTATTTTATATTGTACCACTTATTTTTTATATTTTTTGCTTCCTGTCTCTTCAAATAGATTACCAGGACCTTAAAGGCTGGGAACCTAACTCTCATTTATTTGTAGTTTTCCACAATCCAAGCACTTTCTGACACATACCAGGACTGGGATGAATTTGGTCTATTAGATTTCTGCACTTAATAAATTGGGCATGTTTTAAATAAGATAATCAGTTTCCATGAAAAGAATAAATGACATCTGTCTCCTCTTTGTTTTTATGAATTATTGCTCTTTCATTATTCATTTGGTCACTCAATGTTTATAAGACCCTTGCTCTCTGTCTGATTCTATATTATTTGGTATACAACATGAATGAAACACAGATGCCTTTTTTGAAGAGTTCATAAGGAAATAGCTAATAGTAATGAGAGATAAATCCTATAGCATAGCCACAGGGAAAGCACTACTTCTGAGAAAGGGAGTATATGGGGTACATCTTAAAGGTTGGGAAGTGAATGTGCTTGGGTTATTGTTTTCAACAGCACAGAGACATACAAGAGCAGGGCAGATGACTGGTACTGAGGGTATAGGCAGGATAATAGCAGAGGATACATCTAGAAAGGTAGGTTGCATCTGTGCTTGGATTACAAGCTATATTGAGTCAAGACTTCATCCTGTTGTGTAGTGTGTAGATGCCATAATACCCAATCCCCCTTCAAAGATAAATGACCTACATCCCCAGTCTCCAGGAGTGCTGCCAGCAGAAAGTCAGTAGCCTTCAGCCTTCAACTGTGAGCCACCTAAGAAGTTTGCCTCTGCTGGAGAGAGCTATCACGTCTAAGGCCATGCCTCCTCCTTCCCATGGTAGTCCATGTTCAATGACTGATTGGAATGGGTGGATAAGGTCTGATTCCTTATCCCCAACTCAGGACAACTCAGAAGGGTTATCTCAACCTCAGAACTCACCTTAGGGTCAACTGAATCCCCATAAGAAAGCTTCTCAGTTTTACTTCTCTCTCTGCTCTGTTCTGCCATTATTTTCTTCCCCCCCTCCTACTTCCCAACAAAATTCTTGCACAGTAACATCAGTTTCCAAGTCTGCTTGCTGAGGACCCCTTACTGGGGAACCCACCCTGAAACAGGTGGTATTGGGGAGTTATCAAGGGGACTTAAGCAAGCAGTGACATAATCAAACAAATATTTCTTCAATATGAGCTTTCCTGAACATTTGAAAATAATTAGGCTTTAAAAAAATGCACATCAATTAATTTATTTCATCAGGGATTATTCCTATAGGGCTGAAAAAGCTGGTATGGCAGCTGCAAAGACATGCAGTGTTTATATTTTTGATAATGGATCATTTTTCTTCATTATTGACAGCCTATTCATCTTTTAGGATTTTTTAAAACATTAAAATTCATTAAATTTTGTCTCAAAGCCAAGGAATTACAAAGTAAAATCTTATTTTCAAAACTTGTTAATCAGAAACTTATCCTGATTAAGAAGTAAAATATATTCCTGGTTTTTAGAACATCATATAGGTATAAAATGGATAAACAAGAAATTTTCCAAAACATTCATATTAGTTTTTAATATCCTTTGATTCTACTATGGCAAAATTAATGTTTATTTTCTACAGGATGGGATACTTTTTTCCACCATCAGATGATTGAAAAATGCACCTTTTAAATTCTATCTTTCAAATGCTCAAATCCCAAAGACAGATTAGGTACACCAGTGGAGAATTGTATCAAATAAAGGCTGTGGTTGATGTTTTGTCAATTTTCAATTTTTTCTTCCACATCTATTGAGTATTTTCAGATTGCCTTTACCTCACTTATTCAATCTGCAGTTATTGAGAAACTATTACAAGGGACACATCAAGAGTAGTCATAAACACTCATATCATTAGAAGACATGAACTGGCACATGAACACCACACTGGACTCACACTTGCACATCCCTTTAGTGACCAAGGCTTTGTCAACCCTTTCACATCTGACTCCTTCCCTTCGAATGATATTCCTTCCTGGAGTCCTCTTGGTTCCTCATTCAAACAGGCTTACATGGGTCTATTCCATAGTTTGCTCAAACCTGCTAATGAAAGCCCCTGGCTTTTCCTTCTCATGTGTTACTGGGAGTGCCTCACATGAATTTCCACAATTCCAAATGCCATGAGGTTAGTCACCACGTTGAGGTTCCTGTTTCTTTCCTCTTCAGCTCTGGCATCCTAATGCTGAGCACCATCTCTTTTACTTCTATAGGATTTGTCTACACCCTGCAAGTACAACAATTTCCTCCAGGTACCACTGTACGCTAAAGAGTATGCAGGGAATATTCTCTCCTAACAGTCTCTACAGACTCTCCTCAACCCCAAATGGAAGCACCGGAGCCCTGCAGTTGCCAAATCTCTACAATGTTTAGTTCAAGAAGAGGAAAAACTCTCCCCCTGTTTTGTTAATTATGGGTGTTCCCATTTTTACTTCTTTGGACAGCTGTCCTCATATCATTAGAGGATATGAGCTGGGACAAAGACACCACACTGGATACAGACTGACCCTTCCCTTCAGTGACTAAGCCTTTGTCAACCTCTTCACATCTGACTCCTTCTTCCCCTGGAATGATTTTTCTTCCTGAAGTCCTCATTCACACAGGCTTACATGGGTCTATTCCATAGCTTGCTCAATATTTCTGAACCCTGTGGAGGTCACAATTTAGACCAGAGACACTACAAACAATAAGTGAACGTGCAATGTCTGCCTTAAGAGATTATAGAATCTCTGTAATTGCTAGCACATCTCAAGATGACCAAAAGTCATCAAAAATTTGTAAATGGCAAAGAGAAGGGAATAAATTATTGTTATTTCCAACTATTTTACTCTTTTTCTCTCAAAGGATAAAGAATTCTAGTTTTCCATAAAACTCCTGAAAGAAAATATAGGAATAAATCTCCATGACATTGGGTTAGGCAATCAATTCTATAATATGACAAAAAATGCATAAATGACAAAAGAGAAAACAGATAAATGGGATGTTATCAAATTAAAATCTTTTGTGCTGCAGATGATACCATCAAGAAAGTGAAAGGTCAGCCCATAGAATGGGAGAAAGTATTTGTAAATCATATACCTGATATGGAGCTTATATCTAGAATATATAAAGACCTTTTACCCTGCAGTTATTAAAAGATAACCAGATTAAAAATGAGCAAAGGATTTGAACTAACCTTCCTCCAAAGAAAGTATACAAAAGGTTGATAAGCACATGAAAAAACTCAACATTATTGGTTATTAGGAAAATGAACATCAAAAGCACAATGAGATACCACTTCGTGTCTATAAGATGGCTATAATAAAAAAGACAATAATAAGTGCCAACAAGCATGTGGAGAAATTTCAACCCTCATATGCAGCTGGTAGGAATGTAAAACTGTGCAGTTGCTTTGTAAAGTAGTTTAGCAGTTTCCCAGAATGCTAAACATGGAGTTACTGTATGACCCAGCAATTTCACTGCTAGGTATATATGCAATATAAATACGAATATATGTCTACAAAAGAATATGTACTTTAAGGTTCATAGCAGCACTATTCTTAATAGCTAAAAAGTGGAAACAACTCAAAAGTCAGTTAACTGATGAATGGATAAATATAATTTGGATTAGCCATATAGCAAATTATCATTTGATAGTAAAAATAATTGAAATACTGATACATGCTACAAGATAGATGAACATGAAAACATTCTGCTAAATGAAAGAAACCAGTCACAAAAGACCACATATTGTGGGATTTCATTTAGATAAAATGTCTAGAATAGGCAAATCTATGATGACTGAAAGTAGATTAGTAGTCACGTAGGACTTGGGTAGAACTGGGGTGAGAGAATAGGGAATGGCTGCTAATGAATATAGGGATTCTTTTTGGGGAAACAAAAATGTTCTCAAATTAGATTGCAGTGATGATTGTAAAAATGTATGAATATATATACCAAAAACATTAAATTTTAAAATTTAAATGGTTGAATTGTATGCTTTGTGAATCTCAATAAAACTGTTAAAATTATTTTTTAAATTCTAGCTTTTGTTAGTGTAGTTTTTAAAAAGAATAACTAATTCAGTACTGTTCACATTTTGAGAATTAGCTCATTACCTCACATAAACAAGACTTAAACATCTGTATGGAAAAGGGGGGCTTCCTGAGGAGCTATTTAGTACTTCAGAGTCTTTTTGACAACAGATTATGGTGAACATTAAAATGGCTATCACTTTAAAAGTGGAAAGAGAATTTGTGACACTTTAAGCCAGGCAGGAACATTTAAAAATTGTTATTGTAGAAAAAAAATGTAATTTTTCAACAGAAAAAAATTCCCTATTCATCATTCAATATATCATCATTTAATATGAAGGACAATAAAATACACTCTTTAATTGCCTGAATAAATTTGCATTTTAGAGTAATTTAATTTTCACTAATGTAATTTGAATGACTCAAGTGAAACATAAAGGAGTTAACTGAACAGATTGATTATTTTGGGTATAAATTTTACAGAAATCAACAACATTTATTACTAAATATAACACACATTTTTATTTCTAAAACAAATTTTGAGTACTTTAAAATGAAAATCATGTTGCAAAAATCATAAAAGTTCCAACACATTGGAATGATTCAATTTCAATAAGACCTTCTTTCCTTTCTTTATAATCACGAGCTTAACTTGGGCCTTCCTCCAGAACTTTATTTATAAAACCATTCTATTTCATTCAGGATTGTTTCTTTATACACTGACAATTTATTGAAGAGAATTAAGCAAGACACGTAGGATACGTTAGAGAAAAAAAAAGCAGAAAAAGTCTAAATTATATTTGAATAGTCTGCTCTCTGGATGTCCAATTCCAGACAATGAGGACCACTTGATTTTCAAAGACATATAAGGAAGATGTCTACACCCTCTCTTTATCACCACTTCCATCAACTAACAACCCATATTGCAGGAAGTTTGACATAAATGCTTGTGGTGACAGATGATTAACACCATGTTTTACTTCCAGAAAAAAGAGTCTGATGTTATCACCTTGTCTTTTCTTGAAGGACTAAGAGTTAAAGGCCTAGGAGAGAGAGAAGTCAAGGTCTAAAAGAAGTCAAGTTCTTTACAGAAAAGCAACATAATGCAAAGAAACATTTCATTTGGCTTGAATTTTAAAGTGGTCTTAAAAGAGGTTAGAATGCCTAGAATACGATAATGCTTTAAAAACAAACTTGGAACAGCACAACCCTATTTGGAACAATTGGACTAATATTGCCATGAGCTGATTGGCATCTTACAACAAGTGGAGTTTGCAAAGCCTATGATACTCATAGATTTCTAGACAAGTCTATGTTACATTGTATCAGCTGAATATATAGTCAAAAGACAGCTCACTTTTATTTTCAGCACATACAGAAACAATTATAAATTCTAGACCAAAGTGACAAAAAATTAAATTATATACCCAAGAATTGTATCTTCCAGTGACTACTAAGCTTAAAATGTGTAGGACTATTAAGGTATTGTTTGGAAGATGCAGGGAGGGTCTATAAAACATATGCATATGTGTGCAACATGTATGTCTTTTGTCCTCCACTTTTGGAGAATAATTTTTGCAATGTGAGATGTATTGTGTTTTCCTTTTGATCTATATGATTTCAACATTAGGCTATGTATAAAAATTAATAGTGAGATCATTTATAAGGCTTCATGCTATTTTAATTCAATCATAACAGCCGAACTTATGAATATCTAGAGGTAAACAAGGCTCCCTTTTTTCTCTTTAATTTACTATCAAAGCCAACAATTTTTAAAAAGTTAGCAAAATTTGTTAACATAATTAAAATATACGGCAAAAGTTATTGAAAAATACTACTATTTCATCAGCTAAACATTTTATAAATACTAAAATTTAAAGTTAGCTGAAAACTTGCTAACATAGTTGAAACTTGCTAACATAGTTGAAATGTATTATAAGTATTACTGAAAAATACTTCTATTTTACCACGTAATTTTTAAAATATTTATGAATCTTTCTATGAATTAACCAAAACTTTTCAGAATGCAGAAAAAAATGCTAATAATCACTGTCCTTTGATTTACAAGTACAGAAAATTTGCAAGAATTGAGTGGATGAGGCATTTCAAAATTGATTGTAAAATGTTTACCTAATATTAGTAATATTCCAATGTATATCTGACTTCCAAGGCTACTCAACATATGCTGCAATGATGCCATTTGACACAATAACCTTTTTATTCATAACAAGTCCGGTATATATTTCAGATACAGCATATATAACATCTTTCTTATTCTAGTCATGTTGAACATGTAGCATCACGAAAAATTAAAAATCACTTTACATTTTAAAATGTGACTAACATTGTTACAACAATGTTGACCAATAGATAAAGTGATAAAAAAGTCTCTTCAAAGTGTGTTCATGTTTGCATTTTAAATAAAATATAACTAGCATTATTTGACCTGCCTGTACTTTTTGAATTGAAAGATATATTTGTGAGAAAATAATACTTCACATTTTCACTAATTTATTAATGATTTTCTAAATTGATATTTATTATTCATTTAATATTAATATTTATAACATTTTACAATGTTTTGTATTAACATTGATTTATTAATAAATTCATTTAATTTACTTTATTGCAGTATTTTAATGACCATCATTTCTGTAGTCTCCAGTGGTGCATAATTTATATCATTTTGAATTTTGTAAGGACACTTTGTAAGAAGCCTGTGCTAAGTTTTGTTCATTGTGTGGCCAGATTTATTTTTGTGGTACCCATATTTCCACACAATTCTCAGAGATCATTTTTAAACTAGACAGACAATTTTCATATATTTTATGTTGATTTCTAGAAATCCAGGAAGTTTAACCAGATTTCAGCACTTACTTCTTAAGAAAAAAAATTACTAACATTTATTAGTAAGTTTACCAATTACCACAAATTTAGTTTCTTAAAACAACACCTATTTATCATATTTCAGAGTATTCTGGGTAGGAATTTCAGAGCATGGATCAGCTGAGTCATCTGCATAGAGTCTCACATGGGGAAAATCCAGGTGTCATCAAAGCTGTGCTCCTTTCTGCAGATTCCTGGGATAAATCCACTTCTCAGCCCATTTAGGTTGTTAGCCAGGTTCATTTGTTTGCCATTATAGGACTGACTTTTCCATTTCCTTCGTGACTGTCAGCCAGAGGTCAATCTTTGATCCTGCAGGCTGCTCTCATTTCTTCTGAAATTTTCCGTGTGTTACTCTCCAGCAACGGCAGGGTGAGTCCCCCTCACATTTTAAATTGCTCTCACTTCTGCTACTACATCTATCTGATCTCAGACAGAGAAAGTCCTTTGCTTCTAAGGGCTCATGTGACAAGATTGGGCCCCTCCAGATAATCCAAAGTAACCTCTATATTTAAGGCCCATGACTTTAATTACATCTGCAAAGTCTCTTTTGCCATATATGTAACATATTTACACATTCTGGGAATTGGGATGTGGATATCTTTGAGGGGCTATGATTCTGCCTACCAAAAGATTACATAAATTCATATGAAGTGCTTAGAAAATGGTTGGTGAAAAATGGTTCTTTTTTTTACTGTAGTAACAGTGAAAGTTCATATATACAGTGCACCGTGACATCATCCGTATCCAACATTTTGTTCAAATCCATCATTAGCCTCAGTATGATTGATTTTGATGTATTATTAGCCTATAACATTTTAAAAAAATACATTGTTTTGCCACACTGTCATTTTTGTGGTATCAAATTAAAGTGACATTTTAAAATATATTTAAAAGCTAAAGTCAATTTATGATGTATCTTTCTATTGTGAACTATCACTTTAGAAGTAAAGTTTTGATTTTGAGTATTCAACAGAATTTGGCCCATTTTGATCACTTTGACATTAGGAAGTTAACAGCAACAAGGCAATCTTATCAATACAGTCAAAGAAAAACTGTCACTTTAGGTACCAGCTTGATCAAAAACTCAAATACAGACATGTTTGTAGGTCTGCAGCAGTTCTTGGTTACAGGAAAGTCAGCTGGATGTTCTCAAGTAGGACTCTACTAATCTTTTCAAATGATTTTAAAATTACAGTATAAAATATCTCATAGGAAATTTGTATATCTTTGATAATACATGGAGAAATATTTAAGCTTGAGCAAAGTTTTTTGTAGAAATGTAATCTTACAGTTGCTTTTGTGAAATCTTGTACTCTGGCTTAAGCTCTTTGAAGAAAAAAAAATCTGATTTTTCTACATTTTGCAATCTCTTCATTCTACAAGATATTTGCCATATCAAGTTTGTGAAATGAAATTTAACATGTTGTTTAACACAGCAAAATAAAAGAAAAATTAGCTAAGCTTTAATATCCATAAATATGTTAGGATTTTCATTTTTGCTTACATATGAAGTATGATTACTTCTACAATTCCTCAGAGTAAAAATAAAAATGAAATAAACAAGTATTTTTCTGAGGTATTATTTCCCTGTCTCATCAAAAGATTAAAATCTGTATATCTAGAATGTTATATACTTTCCACGTTTTTTCAAACATTTAATCTTCTGTTTATTGCTCTAGAAAAATCTGTCATTACTTTGATATGGCAGATGAAGAGACCAAAAAGCTACTTAGCATGCTAAAAGCTAGTGGCAGAGCAAGTAGACAAAAGAAACAAAAAATATACACAAAAAAAAGCCCTCGTGATCAATATCGTCTTCACGAACTTTTAGATTGGCAGCTCTCAAATCCTTTAAGTAACAAGGTGGTTGATAAATAAATACATACCTTATTAAATACAATGGCAAATTGATTTGTTTTGAGAATAACTTCTAGGACTGAGAAGAACTAAGACTCCCCTGGTTCTGACTCAGAAATCTGTATTAAATTGAAAAGTTCAAATAGGAAAACAAAACTTCAATAAAGGCAGGGACAAAGGTGGGAGAAAACAAAAAGGAAACATTAAAAGAGAGAAACAAAAAATAAATAAATAAATAAAACTGCTCATAACATTCCTCTGGAGCCATTTATAATTCCTGGGTATACTTCAGTATTTAAATTACTTGTCTCTTAATTATCTGGGCTGCAACTTATCACCTGGTCACATGTTTTAAGCAGAACACAAACTAGGCAAGAACAAAGTAGTGATCGATGGGAATTAGTTCCATGATGTACTATTGATTGCATATAAAAAAGAAGGATTTAGGGTTTATCACATTGCTGAAAAGTGTTTGTTTTCTCCCACAGATGTAGCCATTAGTTAGGAGCATAGCATATGGCTGGAGGGTAATTAAGAAGCTGATGCCTCATAGAACGAGGATAAATAAACTAGAGGATGCAACCACATTACATCCCTCTGCCCCTACTTGTCTTTGTAACAGAACTTTGGCCCATGTGTAGTGATTCTATTTAATGACATGGAGCACTCTGAGAAAAAGCAAGTTTAGGAAAGAGAAAAGAAATCCAGAGTACAGTTTGCACATGTTAACTTTAAGGTATCCACTAGACATTCATATGTAGGTATTAAATAAACAGATGTTCAAAAATATTTCAGTAAAGAAGGCTAGGGCTAGAGATAGAAATTTGGAGGTGAAGCATGAAACTGATAACTAAAACTGTCACCTTTAGAAAGGGGTCCCAATCCAGATCCTAAGAGAAGGCTCTTGGATTTCATTCAAGAAAGAATTCAGGGTGAGCCCAAAGAGTAAAGTGAAAGCAAGTTTATTAAGAAAGTAAAGGAATGAAAGGGTGGCTACTCCATAGGCAGAGCAGACCCTCAGGCTGCTGACTATTTTTATGGTTATTTCTTGATCATATGCAAAACAAAATGTGGATGATTCATGAGTTTTCTGGGAAAGAGACAGGCAATTCCAAGAGCTGAGGGTTTCTCCCCTTTTTAGACTATATAGGATAACTTCCAGAAGTTGTCATTAAATCTGTAAACTGTCATGGCACTGGTAGGAATGTCTTTTAGCATGCTAATGATTTATAATTAGCATAGAATGAGCAGTGAGGATGACCAGACATCACTTTCGTCACCATCTTGGTTTTGGTGGATTTTGGCCGGCTTCTTTACCACATCCTGTTTTATCAGCAGGGGCTTTACAACCTGTATCTTGTGATACCAATCCTCCTGACCTATCTCATCCTGTGACTAAGAATGCCTAACTTCCTGGGGATGCAGCCCAGTAGGTCTCAGCCTTATTTTACCCAACCTCTATCCAAGATGGAGTCACTCTCGTTCGAATGTCTCTGACAAAACCATTGCGAAAGAATGAGATCACCCTGGGAGTAAGCCTAGAAAATAAAAGACAATCACATCAAAAAGCTTATCCACCATGATCAAGTGGGCTTCATCCCTGGGATGCAAGGCTGGTTCAATATATGCAAATCAATAAATGTAATCCAGCATATAAACAGAGCCAAAGACAAAAACCACATGATTATCTCAATAGATGCAGAAAAAGCCTTTGACAAAATTCAACAACCCTTCATGCTAAAAACTCTCGATAAATTAGGTATTGATGGGACGTATCTGAAAATAATAAGAGCTATCTATGACAAACCCAAAGCCAATATCATACTGAATGGGCAAAAACTGGAAGCATTCCCTTTGAAAACTGGCACAAGACAGGGATGCCCTCTCTCACCACTCCTATTCAACATAGTGTTGGAAGTTCTGGCAAGGGCAATTAGTCAGGAGAAGGAAATAAAGGGTATTCAATTAGGAAAAGAGGAAGTCAAATTGTCCCTGTTTGCAGACGACATGATTGTATATCTAGAAAACCCCATCGTCTCAGCCAAAAATCTCCTTAAGCTGATAAGCAACTTCAGCAAAGTCTCAGGATACAAAATCAATGTACAAAAATCACAAGCATTCTTTATACACCAACAACAGACAAACAGAGAGCCAAATCATGAGTGAACTCCCATTCACAATTGCTTCAAAGAGAATAAAATACCTAGGAATCCAACTTACAAGGGATGTGAAGGACCTCTTCAAGGAGAACTACAAACCACTGCTCAACGAAATAAAAGAGGATACAAACATATGGAAGAACATTCCATGCTCATGGGTAGGAAGAATCAATATTGTGAAAATGGCCATACTGCCCAAGGTAATTTACAGATTCAATGCCATCCCCATCAAGCTACCAATGCCTTTCTTCACAGAATTGGAAAAAACTACTTTCAAGTTCATATGGAATCAAAAAGGAGCCCGCATTGCCAAGTCAATCCTAAGCCAAAAGAACAAAGCTGGAGGCATCACACTACCTGACTTCAAACTATACTACAAGGCTACAGTAACCAAAACAGCATGGTACTGGTACCAAAACAGAGATATAGATCAATGGAACAGAACAGAGCCCTCAGAAATAACACCGCATATCTACAACTATCTGATCTTTGACAAACCTGAGAAAAACAAGCAATGGGGAAAGGATTCCCTATTTAATAAATGGTGCTGGGAAAACTGGCTAGCCATATGTAGAAAGCTGAAACTGGATCCCTTCCTTACACCTTACACAAAAATCAATTCAAGATGGATTAAAGACTTAAACATTAGACCTAACACCATAAAAACCCTAGAAGAAAACCTAGGCATTACCATTCAGGACATAGGCACAGGCAAGGACTTCATGTCTAAAACACCAAAAGCAATGGCAACAAAAGCCAAAATTGACAAATGGGATCTAATTAAACTAAAGAGCTTCTGCACAGCAAAAGAAACTACCATCAGAGTGAACAGGCAACCTACAAAATGGGAGAAAATTTTCGCAACCTACTCATCTGACAAAGGGCTAATATCCAGAAACTACAATGAACTCAAACAAATTTACAAGAAAAAAACAAAACAACTGCATCAAAAAGTGGGCGAAGGACATGAACAGACACTTCTCAAAAGAAGACATTTATGCAGCCAAAAAACACATGAAAAAATGCTCACCATCACTGGCCATCAGAGAAATGCAAATCAAAACCACAATGAGATACCATCTCACACCAGTTAGAATGGCAATCATTAAAAAGTCAGGAAACAACAGGTGCTGGAGAGGATGTGGAGAAATAGGAACACTTTTACACTGTTGGTGGGACTGTAAACTAGTTCAACCATTGTGGAAGTCAGTGTGGCAATTCCTCAGGGATCTAGAACTGGAAATACCATTTGACCCAGCCATCCCATTACTGGGTATATACCCAAAGGACTATAAATCATGCTGCTATAAAGACACATGCACACGTATGTTTATTGCGGCATTATTCACGATAGCAAAGACTTGGAACCAACCCAAATGTCCAACAATGATAGACTGGATTAAGAAAATGTGGCACATATACACCATGGAATACTATGCAGCCATAAAAAATGATGAGTTCATGTCCTTTGTAGGGACATGGATGAAATTGGAAATCATCATTCTCAGTAAACTATCGCAAGAACAAAAAACCAAACACCGCATATTCTCACTCATAGGTGGGAATTGAACAATGAGATCACATGGACACAGGAAGGGGAATATCACACACTGGGGACTGTTGTGGGGTGGGGGGAGGGGGGAGGGATAGCATTGGGAGATATACCTAATGCTAGATGACGAGTTAGTGGGTGCAACACACCAGCATGGCACATGTATACATATGTAACTAACCTGCACAATGTGCACATGTACCCTAAAACTTAAAGTATAATAATAATAAAAAAAAAAAAGACAATTGAGCCCTATGGTTCTCTAGCATTAAGGACCGGGAATAGGAGAAAAATCAAAATAGGAGACTGATAAGAAGCAGCAATTAAAGTAAGAATAAAAAAGATGGTGATGCCCTGCAGGATCAGTGCAAAGTTGTTTCAAAAAGGAGGCAAAGATCAATAGTGTCAAGTGACAGTGAAGAGCCAAATTAAATGAGGACTGAAAATTGACCACAATGTTTGATAACACAGAGGTCACTGGTGACTTGAAAGAGCAGTTTTAATGGAATGATGAGGACTGTAGTAGAATAGAGAATGTTAAATACGAAAATGGATATAGGCAGAAACATTGCTCTTTGAAGTTTTTTGTCATAAAGAGGAACAGAGAAATGTGGTGGCAGCTGAAGGCAAATCTACTGTCAAAAAACAGAAGTGTTTTTTTGTTTTGGTTTTGGTTTTGGTTTTTTATTTTGTTTTTAAGTGGAGCCGTTACAGCATTTGTGTATGCTGCATTGGGAGAGAAAAGTTGATTGTGCAGAGAAAGGGATAGCCATTTTAAGGGCAGAGCTCTCAAGCATGGTCCACGTGGAGGAATTAGCTTTAAATAAAAGCCAGGATTCATAGTGTATTATAAGACAGCAGTTATTGATAAGAACAAGAACAAGATCTTAATCATTAGCATGGGTGGCAACTGTAGTCCCCTTCAAAAGGAGAAAGGGAAACACTCACTCCCAGCTTTAAGTTTTGGCCCTGAAGATGTAGCTCCCACTTTAGAATGACAGCATGTTTTCTCCCTGAGATTATTACACTGTCAGAGGGGCTTGGTCCAGGTGCTTTGATTTCTTTTCCCCTCCAACTTTCAGAATCCAGCTATTATGTCAGATTCCTTTTTTCCTTGTTATAATTTTTTTCTTTGGGGTCCAGTTATTGAAATCATTCATGTTTTTCTTGTCAAAACATTATTTGACCCATGTAAATTAGTCTTTCCAAATACATAATGCAAGATATTACTAGTTTTATGTAAATATCAATTACAGCCCTGCTTGGAAAACCAATATGCTCATTCTATGAGGCAGTAAAAACAGTCAAAAACATGGAAGGCTTAGGATACAATAGGAAAGCCTCGTGGTCAACAATGGAATTTGTCCTCCTTGTGTAACCTTGCAGAACACTGATTGATGTGGCGATTACAAAGCTTTCATATCTTTTTTTTTTTTTTTTTTTGAGACAGTCTCGCTCTGTCTCCTAGGCTGGAGTGCAGTAACGTGGTCTCAGCTCACTGCAACCTCTGCCTCCCAAGTTCAAGCGATTCTCCTGCTTCAGCCTCCCGAGTAGCTGGGACTACAGGCACCCACCACCATGCCTGGCTAATTTTTGTATTTTTAGTAGAGATGGGGTTTCACCATATTGGCCAGGCTTGTCTCAAAATTCTGACCTTGTGAGCCACCCACCTAGGCCTCCCAAAGTGCTGGGATTACAGGCATGAGCCACCATACCCTTAATTTTTAAAGTATCCTCTTGCATATAGCAATATTCTGCTGTTTGACCAAGGGCTCAGTTTTGATGGGAAGTATATGGAATGGTGAGAAAACTGGAAATACCTTAATCAGATAGATAATCTTCTGAATAATGAGTGACAGAAGCTAAAACTCAATTACTGTCACAAGCAGGAGGCTAAATCCAATGGACAACCAATATGGGAAGGAAAGCAAAAGTTACAGAAAGGAAAGGTGTTTCAGCTCAAGTCTGCTAAGAATTTTTTGTCTCAGTCAGGACTGGGTTACAGGGACAAAGATTGATAATATATGATCTTGATTTATTGTCAGTATTGCTGGTAGAGTCTTATAAGGCCACTGAATAGGGATGTCAAGAAGACAAGCAAATTAGCAACTGATCCAAAGTAGAAATAAATTTTGATTATTGAAATATGTAATTGATATTAGGATGATTTTCAATATAATCCTCCATCATGAAATCAGTAATCAAATAAAATTGAAGTCACAGCTAAAAAGGTCAGAATTAACTAATTTTTTCTTTTTGAGGCAATAATCTTAGGCCTTTATAGTTCATAGAGACACCAGAATCTGGATATATACTTCAATAAATATCAATTTATGAGACATTTTGCCTAAGGGGAAAACAGGTACCTGCTGAAAGCGTATCTTTTTTTCTTTTCCTTTCACCAGGAACATTTCACCTAGCTTGAGAAAGAGAAGATCCAGAAGTCCACACTGCTTCTATAATGCACATGGTGACATTTAACTGTCAGCTATTATTTCTAAACTATTAACTTTTATGAAAGCTATTTAGATGATGATGTTGATGGCTAATAATACTGGCTTCAAAAATATCATTGGGTGAAGGACAGAATCCTCATGGCAGTTTCTGCAGTCTTTTCATTTTTTAAAAGAAAAAATTGCAGCAACAGTTTGGTGTTGTCTCATTTTCTCTCACTTAGAAGTATTCTTTTCTTTTTTCAAGATGAAACACCTTCAAGGATTGCCCCCTGAGGGTATTGTAAAAGGATTTGCAAACTTCAAATTAGACTGGTCGCTGCAGGTGGCTTCAGTGCCATGTCCTTGGTGACTTATACACAGTGTCCAGCACACAGTATGTACTCAAGAAGCAGATGCTGAATGAGTTATAGTAGTTGGAGCAGGAGTTTTATCTCAGTTGAGAGTTGATTGTTAGCAATGCATCTATTAGGAAGAAAAGGCCAAAAGTAAAATCAAACAGAATAGTCCTCTTATTGCATTAATTTTTTGGTTCTCCAGTTTCTTTCACAGTTTCTGCTTATAATGCTGCTCTGAACAAGTTCTAAAATCCCTAAGCCAAGCCAGTTATTAATTCCCTGAGAAAATTCAATTTTATTTTTTTTAAAAGCAAAAATTTCTCTAAATCTTATTAATGGTTTTTCACCTAACAAAGCTAACAATGTAAACTTGGGAATTTTAAAGGTATTAACTAGAGATACTTTTAAGAATACTTACGGATTTTATGAACCATAAAAAGGAATTGTTATACTCTAACATAATTTTTTGTTTATTTTTCAAATATCAGTCCATTAAGACACTTTATTTCTCTGACCTGATTTTCCCTGAGGCAACATATACATATATTTGTTTATGTAAAGGATCAATAGAAAAGTGATTCTCAGAAAGAAAATCATTAAATTATTCTGTAAGTAGACAGGTCTCTGCACAATAATGAATGAAGTAATCTTATTTCTTATTAGTAGTTCCAGAGAAATAATTTTAATTTTTGAATGTATCTGTATCTCCAGGTCTAAGTTAAAATGCTCACCTTTCTGTTGAAATGCTCACCTCACTGTCTCTCAAAGCACAAAACAGAGTCTAGGTTTCTGTGCACGTTCACAAAGGAGCCCTAGAATATTCATTCAGGAGAGCAAATTTCTCTGCCCCTGCAAGAATAACAAACCCAAACTTCCAGAAGGGGTCAAGTCCAGAGGGCTGCACAAAGGCAACAAAACCATCCTTAATACTTTCTGTGTAATACAGAGCCAACTTCAAGGCTTTGCCAATCAGCAGTCAGAAGTCAGCCAGAAATAACCAATCTCCATCATAAAAATAAGGTCCGCCAGAGGCTGACTGAGTGGCCTCTGTTTAACCAGGGCATCATTTTTCTTCTTCTTCTTTTTTTTTTTTTTTAATCAATCTTTAACAGTAATTCAAAATTTGAAGAAATACTGCCTAGCACTCTTATAGCAACTTTAAATTTTTAAAACATATTTTGATACTTATCATCTAAATGTTGTCTTAAAAACATCTGTAAGAGATATTTTGTATATGAGGTTACTGATACAGAGAATAATGAAATTATGGTTCTAAAATCCCATAGAAATTGAATGTCAGAGTCACATTCAAGTTTCACAATTCTCTGTGTATAGTTTAGTGCTGCCCTTTTGCAAGGAAGGAATTTAGAATTCTCGTCTCTGCCCTCATGACAGAGACATTTAGAAAACACAGACTCACTAATTATCTACATCCTAAAGCAAAATTTTAGTTAATCTTCACCATTTACTTTCATGAAGAAACTTAGTCGAGTTATTATGAAAATTATTTCAAAGAACAGAATCTGTTGGCAATGATGGACTCTAATGAGCAAATATTAAGCTGCTACATTAGTTTCCCAAAATTAGTGCCCTTTATATTGCTTCCTTAAATGTAACCATTTCTGCCAGAATAATTAGATATTATTAGTCCTTGAAATCAAAAGCCATAGGGAACTAATTACATAAACTTGAATGAATATCTTAACTTTCTTGTGTGGCAGGCCATTGCCAGCCTTGTTTATAAAAAGCCCCTAAGTAAACATAAGTGTAAGACACCTGGACCCTACAGACACAAAGAAGGAAATGTGTAATGTGGCTGAGAATGGCCAGCCATCACAGAGCTCATTTCCTCTACCTTCTATGTTACTCACTAATGCTGCAGGTGGCTACATGACTTAATTCTAATCAATAGAATATAGAAACAGAAATGATAGGCACCAATTTCAGGCCTGTTTCACAAAAACTCCTCCAAGCCCTTTCCTCTTTGGCCAGCTTGATACAACAGGCATGGTGGCCTTGAAACCCATGTGCTGAAGATGACAGAGCCATAGAATAGAACAAGCCTAAAACCTTGCTTGATTCACCACATGAGAGAAATTTGTCTACCAATTAGGAACAACAATTTTGGAAGTTGCAATGACTAAATTTCTGTCTTTCTTGAGTTACAAGGACAGAAAGAGTTAGAGTTTTTGACCGCAGGTGGTATTAATTTAACCAATGTCTAAAGTATAACCCCAGCTTATGCACCAAAAAAGAGGACTTTGCATTAGAATGGTTCCACACAATTTCAGGACTTGAAGGTACATGGACAGCTTGAGTTATGATTTTGCTAAGAAATAGAATGTCTTCCGTGGAATCATGATAAAACGGGTGTTAGTGTGGCCCTTTCAGGAGGTGTGAAGCTTAATGTCTGGCTCTGCCCTAGTCCCTTAGACTAGGAATATTCCTGTCCCTGAGCAGAGCGTGAACCATGTCGACAACCCTGGTTTTATCTTCACAGGAATGAAAGGAGGATATAGGGAGGCCATGATCACTAGATGTATCCATTATTGATGTTCTTCTCACATGCCTTTGATAGTTGATAAAGCATGTGAGTAGGACTACTTGCCGTGTATAAACAGAATCCCAGACTTCTCTGATTATTTATATGTGCAATCACTATAAACTTATTGGATGAAATATACAAAGATAGTAGGCAGAACTTATTGGATGATATGCAAAAGGAAACTTTACTTTTATTTTCACTGAACTTTTAAAAGCATGCCATGAGTCTTCTTTGTCCTCTGTTGGGAGCAGGCCCCCCAAAATCTGGCCATAAACTGGCCCCAAAACTGGCCATAAACAAAATCTCTGCAGCACTATAACATGTTCAGAATGGTCTAACGCCCAAGCTGGAAGGGTTGTGGGTTTACGGGAATGAGGGCAAGGGACACCTGGCCCTTCCAGGGTGGAAAACCGCTTAAAGGCATTCTTAAGCCACAAACAATAGCATGAGCAATCTGTGCCTTAAGGACATGCTCCTGCTGCAGTTAACTAGCCCAACCTATTCCTTTAATTCGGCCCATCCCTTCGTTTCCCATAAGGGATACTTTTAGTTAATCGAATATCTATAGAAACAATGCTAATGACTGGCTTGCTGTTAATGAATATGTGGGTAAATCTCTTTTCAGGGCTGTCAGCTCTGAAGGCTGTGAGACCCCTGATTTCCCACTTCATACCTCTATATTTCTGTGTGTGCATCTTTAATTCCTCTAGCGCCACTGGGTTAGGGTCTCCCTGACTAGGCTGGTCTCGGCAGTCCTCTGCCCCTGGATGAAATTTAGGGAATGTCCTACCATTTTTCTGAGCACCTTCATGTAAAATATAGGCTCAATTCAAAACTACAGTGACTAATCCACTGCTGTAATTAAAACCTTAAAATTCTTTGAAAGATTCACCTTTGGTCCTCCCTAATTCTTCTGTAGGCAAGCCATATGCATGGAAGAGTGGAGTATTTCTCTTTCCCTTACTTCTAAAACTGGTTACAATTATTTAGACTTGAAGGAATAACAGATCTGTAAATATTATTATGGGAATATAATATCTGTTATCAATATCAGATTCTTAGAATAATCCAAAGGTATAAAATTAACATGACTTACAAGTGAAAGTGTCTATACATTTAAAATTAAATCTAAGTTTCCTCTGATAATGGTTATAATATACCTTAACTATTGTTCAGTAGAAAACACTGGACATCAGCCAGATAATAACTTCAAATTCTTAACCTTAAATCCTAATTCCTTCAACAATGCTGGTGCTTAATTTAGGAAACAAATAATACATTTTGTTTTACTGAATTGTAATTCAGAATGAGACTGTATTACCTCAGGCAACCATATGAGATGCTATTAAAAATGTAATTTATTCTACTACATAAAAAATAACTAAAAATGCTCTAAATCATAGAAGTGGTGTAAGCAATGAACTGAAATATATTTCAAATTTATTAAATTCCAAAATATGTTCATTCTACTTCTATGCACATGCAGCACTCAAAAAAGCCAATGCCACTTTTTAAAATCTAAATTTGGTTATAAGAAACCATTTTGAAAAGCATTAATAATTGTTGAAGCTGGGTGGGGAACAAATGCGTATTCATTATATATTCTCTCAATGTTTATGTATGCTTTAAAGTTTACATAATACACATTTTGTTATGGTAACTATTGTTTGAATAAAAAGAAGCTTATATTTGAGCCAATTAATTTTACCACCCATAGGAAAACAGAGTGACTCTTTAAGTGGGACAGAAATATAGTTGTCAAGCAAAGGGTCACACCAGGTATTATTCCAATACCAGGTTCAGGTGTGGCAAAAGAACCAGAAATATCTGAAGTTAACACATCAGACAACTTTCAAGCAGACAATCTGCAGCAAAATAAAATAGCCAAAGGTACAACTGATCCACTGTGCCAACCTGAATTTCAATGGATATTTGTATTTCAACCACTTCACAATGTGTAACCACATATATATTGTATATGTATATAAACACTTACATAACCATGTATAACCACAATCCTGACTTTTGTAATAAGTGCCTTGTTTCTTAGTAGTGTTACCATATATAGATACATCCCTAAATGACATATTACTTAGTTTTGTTTACTTCTGAACTTTATGTAAATGGAATAATATTATATGTACACTTTGTTGACCTGTTTATTTTATTTAAAAAAAAATTGAGAGATTCATTCATGTTGATGTACTTACCTGCAGTTCATTTATTTTTGTTGGTATTCTTTGGTGTAACAATATCAACACGGTATTGTTGTTGATTATTTATCAATAATCTACTTTTGATGAATTTTGGAGTCATGCTTATTTTCTAGTTATTACAAGCAAAACAACCTTATTAATTTTATGAGTATGAGTTAATCTAGGATAAATCTGAGATTGGAATTGCTGAGTGATAGGGTACCTGTTCTATATTTTTAGGTATTGTCAAACTTTTTCCCAAAGATTTTTGTACCAATTGCCATTAGCAATGTAGACAATTACCATGGCTTTTCATCCTCACTAATACTTTCATTTCTTCATTTTTTGGCCAGTTATGCAGGCATATTTTTAGCTTTAAATGTAGCAATGCCTATGATGGTAAATACTAGAAAAAGACAAAAATGATGTAATTCTCTGAACTCAAGTTTATCTCTAGCCTTAAGAGTTTCACCTATTTTTCAGATTCTTGCCAATAATAACCTTAAATGATAAAAACAAGGGATACTCCTTCAGAGTGCAAAGCAGTCGCTTCTAAAGTAAAGCAGAAATAATTAGCTGCCTGGAAAGACTAAAATTAAGGGAGACAGACCTTTTAAATGAATAACAACACTGACATTTAAGTTTTACTACTTACACTGAGTATCTTTCATTTGCCCATTTAGACCCAACTTATGCTTCCCTATCATATATTAATAAGACATCCACAGGACCCATTGCCTCTGGCTTCTGATTGGATTCAACTACTGGAGAGCTCCAACAGAAAATAGGAAGAAGAAAACTACCTCTTGCGGGAAACTAAGACCCGGCCTGTGTTCTAGAGGTGCCACTCCTCTCAAGGCATCCTCCACAGGACCCTCTCATTTTGGGTTCCAGTAACCTCTTACTCCCCTCATTCCTTCAGGCCTAGGGATGGTAATGATTTTGTCATTTCAAACTCTAGGGTGATGGAGCTTCCCTTACACCCTCGATAACTTTATAGTTTATTAGGCTTTCTTGAGTTATTCTAATTTGCATATGGCTTCTGTTTCCTGTTGGGACACTGACTGATATACGACTCTAGTGATCCTCAAACTTTAGTGTGTATTAAAGTCACCTGGCAGACTTGTTAAAGCAGAGACTGCTGAATAACACCTCTGTAGTTTCTGATTCAATAGGTCTGGATTGGGACCTGAGAACTTATGCCTGTAACAATTTTCCATTTAATTCTCAGAGACTACACTTTATGAATCACTCTACCAGTACTCTATCATGTCTCAGGCTCAATGGGACTTAGCCCCATTGGTCTAGAAGAAGGACCAGTAGCTACTATAGTCCTGAGTTCCTTTGAGGAAAAAGTATTGGGTGAGTGTGAGAATATGCCAGAAGCCCTAGAACCTTAGGATCAGGGGAGAAGATTATAAAACATCTTAGGTGTTAACGGGAATACTCTATCTCTGGTTCCAGTTAAGTAGAAGAACATACAAAGGCTATTTCTTTGATTTAGCTTTTTTCTTCCTTAAAATACATGAATTCTAGTTTAGTTGGAAAATTTTTATATACAATTTTTCTTTGGAAGCATGAACAGTAGCATGTTAAACTACATAGCTTGAGAAATATTATTAATTTTCTTCTCTAAATGGCAAGTAGAATAAGGAGGATATAAAGAGAAAAGTGTCCAGGTTTTTAAAAAGGCTATATAGATCCCTTTAATCAATTGTAAAACAGTGGGAGGGAGCCAATATTCCAATATTAATTGAGCACCTACTATTTGCCCGTCTCTTATAAACATTAACTCCTTTTATCCTCCCATGGAAATCAAAGTAATAGATAGATGAGGACACAGAGAGAAACATGAGAAGTTAAATAGCTTGTCCAATTTTCACAGCTCATGATAAAGTTAGTATTGGAACTGAATGCCTATCTCCAATGGCTACAATTTCCCCACTAAGCCACACTGGTCCCAAAATAGAACACAAAGATTGTCATAGATGCTATACTGCCCTCAGGACTGAGCGTGGCCCGCTGACAGCTCTCAACCCTCAGTCACTGCCCTTGGCTGGAGAGGACTGCTTTGCTAGGCTGCCTCTACTCACTGAGGAATTTATTGAGGTTGCGTAAAGTTCTGGACCCATTGGCAGACTACAGCCCAACTATTCCCTCTGCCTACTTCTGCTTCCCTTCCATGATGGCTAATCCAGAGAACATTCCCTAATAAACTGTCTGTATGCTAATTTCCATCTCAGCGACTGTTTCTCAGAAAATCTAGCCTGCGGCAAAGATAGCCTCTTTTGGTCATTTAAATTGATAAGAAAACAAGGAATGGCTCATACAATCATAAATTTTCTTATATTGTAAGATGATCAAAATTTGAATGCTCAGAGCTGCATTTAAAAATGTGAACAGTGATTTAACTGAAAAGGTCAATAGTTCCTACGCTGTCTTGAATATTGATGGATTTCTAACATAAAAAACAAACACAGAAAAATTTGGGACAAAGTGGGATCCTTAAGAATACATGAATATGCATTTTCTTGCCTTATCTCTCTTGTTCTCCCCTCTCACTTCCACCTTCCTCCTCCCTCTCTAATGCTATTCTCTTGTTTTTTTTTCTCTCTCTCCCCATCTTGAATCTGTCCCTCTCTTTCTAATCCTCTCTTTTTCTATAGTCGTGTGCCTTGTGTTTCAGAGAAGACAGTTTATTCTCCCCTATATCAGCTTTTAAATGGAGTCTCAGCATTTACCACAGTCACTTTGATTGAGGTTCTCTTCTTGCTCCAGCTTATTAAATTCTGAAAACAATCATTCTCTTTGTGTTGGGGTGGCAGCAACATTATTAGCTTTTTGTCCCCTGAGATTCCTAATCTCTTTTCCAAACTCTCTTAGACAACCATACAAAACTGAGGAAGTGTTGTAAATTCCAAAGTTGCACTTAAGGAAAATTAATTTGAATCCATGTTTGTAGGTGCTTACTTCTCTAACATGACTTGGACCAGTAGTTGTTCAGTTAATCAAAAACCCAGTTTATAGTTAGGACATACATCCTAAACATTTTAACTTAAAACTATGAATGTATGTTTATTTGCCACTACATATGTTCATCTTTTATTGGGGAGCTAAGGTCTTTTTATTAAGTGAAGATCACATGATCAGAGTTCTACATCATCTTTCTTGAACAAAACCTGTAATGTGTCATCTTCAGTTTCCAGTTTCACTTTCTTTAATGTGGAGCAAAAATGTAATGACACTTGTGAAGCAACCTGAATAAGGAAATTCCCCTAAGAACACACCATCTTTTACAGTGTTCTTATCCCAAGCTAATATGACAAGAACTATTTTAAACAACCCATTTCTTTTTGGTATTTCCAAAGTATGCCACTTAGAGTCCATAGAAACAAGAGCTCTTTAAACTTGTATTTTATTGGTTTGTTTATATCTAATTAAATACCATAATTTCAATATTAGTTGAAATTTTGTGCAATTACATAATTATGTACATATTATATGCAATTAGTACAGTTGGCACTAACAGGTTTGGCAACAAGCACAACTAACTCTTTTTTAGTAAGCCTACAACCCAACTGGAAGCCACAGAAGAATGTGGGCTGGCCAAAGAGTAGCCACTTAGCCATGAGCACCAAGTACACCACGGACATCCATCAGTATGATTACAGAGAGAATGGAAAGTGAGAGTTAATCTGGCAAGGTGGCTAATTCAAAGTTGGTCAAAAGAGCTCCTGCTCAATTTCCAAACCCAAAGGGATGACTGAATTATTCTCAAGTTTTACTTTCTTAAAAAGTGATTTAATTTTTATATTTTCCATCCAATGCCCTTTCTCCAATCTACCTGACAGTAGTATCTATTGCTTCTAAAATATTGTGGAAGAATCATGTTTTAAGTGATCATCACCATATTATATATTTTCATAGAATGAATACTTAAAGAATTAAGTGTCGACACAACCTTGGGGAGCAGGAGGAGGGCGCAAGGTTTTTGGAGTGGCTCTGAGTGTCTGGACTGAGATTTTTAAATATTTCTTTCTCCAACTCATCAGCACAATTTAAAAAGTCACTGGCTCAACAACAGCAACAAAAATTAAGCCAGAGTATGCATGTGTATTTTTGTGGTAGTGAGGGGATATGTTATGTTTGTGGGGCCAAATCCAGAAGAAAAATGCAATCATTATACATAAAAAACAATCTCTGAATCCTTTCAATAAATGCCAGTGCATCTGAGTGGCTTGTTGGGCTTTGATATACCTCTCTTCACTTACCAGGAATTAGAGATGAACTCATAAACTAATTGTAGCTCATACAAGATTGCTCTATCACTAAATACAATTTTACCACAATCAACTACCATCATTTTAGAAAATATTATTTTTTCTCAAGAAATCAAGATAACCAGTTTCAAAACAATAAACACTAACCAAAATTTTTGATTTGGAATTAAGAATGAAAATATTTAAAGTACATTTTTGAAGTATTAATATAATTCTTCTCTGAAAGTAGAACTATACAGTAGCTATGAGAGATGAATGTTGTCTTAATTTATTCTGTCTTTTTACAGTGAAATAATAATAAAATCTCAATGTAAAGGTGTATTTGATATTATTTATCATTTGTAAGTAAAGGAGGAGGCTCAGAGAGGTGAAGTAACTCAGCAAAGGTTATGCACCAATGATAAACCAGAATTAAAACTCAAGTTTCTTGACATAGAATCCATATTTTACCAACAACTTGTATCCCTACTTATTACCACAACACAATATATCCATCAATACATTCTACTGAAAAATAAAAACCCTTAGAAGGTCTTGGTTTTAGATTTTTTTTTAATTTTCAGCTAAATTATATTATATTTGACATCAATAAATGATTATAATGCTAAAAGAAGAAATAATTGTAGCTTCTCAGAGCTGCAGAAAGTAAAAAGAATTCTAATGTATGTATTAGTCAGCGCTTTCTAGGTTTTTTTGTGCTAACAAACATCCTCATAATGTCAGTGGTTTAATATAACAAATATTAGTGCCAATTTTACACATAGTGGAGGCTGGTGGAAGCTTCACCACTTTGTAGATGCACAATCTGCATGAATATGTGGGATCAGATGTTGTAAATAAAAATGTCTTATTCAGAGGATAAAAGACTGGAAATTGCACATGGGCTTTCAAAGTCTCACTTAGAAAAGTGTCATGTTGTGAGAGAGCCAGGAAGCGTAAAGGAACAAGTGAAATATTTGATGAGCATTAATGTCTCTATCTCATTTTTAACTTCTTATGCATCTTCTACTTACAGAGTATAAGATGGTTTTTCATAGATTCTGTTTTAGCTAAGTCTTTTCCTAGTGTTTCAACCATATTCATGAGTTCATGAATATGGTCTTTTGACCCCTGTTACATTGCCTGCATTTTCCCATGATTTATGTATAATACACACCAAATATGAGTTCATCCATTTCTCTATTATCTGAAGACATTCTTAGTATTAAAAATTTGAAACATCTGATTAATTTTTATATTGATTACATGTTGAAATGATATTTTGGATATGTTGGGTTACATAAAGTACATTATTTTAATTAATTTTATCCCTTTACTTTTTTCAATGTGACTCTTTAGAACTGTGAAAGTCTGAGTTTTTAATCCTACTTTCAGGCTAACAAGTTAACCTGCCACATTTTCATGGATGCTGACAGAAGACATGATTCTCCTGAGTCAGAAATAAAGGAATATATTACCCATGCTACCGCCAACCACATGAGCTTCGTATTTGGAAACAATCAGTTCCCATTGTTCCTCCAAGTCCTTTGGGAGCAATGCAGAGTAGCCCAAGTGGGCTGTGTATGTGCAGTTTGTTCATTTAACAGCTGAGGGAATTAAAATCTTTTATGATGAACTAGAAGCAAACCTACCTGACTTCTGCATTGGAGAGAGACATTATTATACCAGACAACAAACATCTACCCTTTCTTCCAGAGTGACACACTATCTCTATCTTCCAAAGTTCTTTTTTATACAAACATCCTTCAAAGACAGACAAGAACAAAAGGACAATTACTGCCTTGCCCGTAAGAAACATGAGATATCATGGATAATTATCTCCCAGGAGAGGCTACTAGAAAATTAAAAATTACATATGTGGCTTGCATTATGTTGCTTTTGGACAGAAGTATTCTTAGTCTTCCTTCCAATTTTATGAGCTGCTTAAACTAAAAAAGTACCTTTGCAGTTACGTAAATAGCAATCCCTCACCCCATCGTAAAGTCAGACCCCGTGGTATCCTTTTACCTGATTAAAGCAATTATGGTTTTAAAACATTGTCTCCTATGTGATTTATTAAACTTCAAATGTGATAGGTGAATTTGTTAATGAACCACAGAAATATTAGTAAAAAATTACTAATTTGTGGAATCTTGTCTCCTTATGTTATTCACTAGCATAGTAGTAGAGAGAGGTAAGCAACATCTTAATATTTAGCATAGCTCCTCCCTTTTCTCAGTTTCCAGATCATCCTAAAATATGAAGTTAAGACAGAGCTTACAAGAATCCAAGGGAGAGAGAGAGGAGTCGCAATCTCTCCAAATACATGACTTTCAAGTAAGGCAAACTGACAAAACATAGTAAAAATAATCTCTCCCCAAATACAACCCACAGGAAAGCTCTAGAGAACATGCATGTATTGTCTGAAATTACGCACTGTTAAAGGAAATAGATTAAACTTGATGAAAGCAAGGAAAAGCAGGCTGTACATACAGAATTGCTCTGGAGATTTCCTGTTTGTCGGGTACTATAGCAGTTCCGCCATCCATCCCTGGAGAGAGCAAATTCACAGAACCTGAAGGGGAGACTAAAAAGGGCTCTTTTTGACCTTGGATAGTATTTCATCCCTTAAAGACTTAAGAAAGACTTGACATTTGGGAAGAAGTCATCAACAGTGCGGGGGCCCACTCACATGCCTCTACCACAGGTAAAAGAATGAGGTTAATAAGCTTGTCTCATGACTGTCAGGTTCTGTCACAATTGTCCCTAGTCTTGAAAATACAGCCATAGCAGATTGCAATAAGTACATTGATATGGTTTGGCTCTGTGTTCCCACCCAAATGTCATGTTGAATTATAATCCCATAATCCCCAGGTGCTGAGGGCAGGACCTTGTGGGAGGTGATTGGATCATGGGAGCAGTTTCCCCCATGCTGTTCTCGTGATAGTGAGTTCTCACGAGATCTGATGGTTTTATAAGTGTTTGACAGTTTTTCCTATACACACTCTCTCTCACCTGCTGCCATGTAATACATGCCTGCTTCTCCTTCTGCCATGATTGTAAATTTCCTGAGGCCTCCCAGCCATATGGAACTGTGAGTCATTTAAACCTCTTTCCTTTATAAATTGCTCAGTCTTGGGTATTTATAGCAGTGTGACAACAAACTAATATGTACATTTATAAAATTCTACAAGATATATTTAAGGAAACAACTGAAGTTAATTTTACTTATTCCTTTCAGAGTTTTTGGGGATGTTGGAATTGTCTGAGGATTTGAGCAGGGCATTTGAGCCCTTAGCCAGGACTCTGTTATTCGATCCCATGAGAACGGACCTAGCACTGTGAGAAACACATTTCCTCCTTTTAATACTGTAGCTGATTTTTAAAAAGGGAAAAACAAAAAGTAATTTTTTTACATAGTTAGAAGAGGAAAAGAGACATATTGGCAGGAAGTAAGCAATACAATATAGTTTTTTTAACACCTGTTGTGGTTATTTATATGATAACCAAATTTACCAAATACCAAATTATATGATGACTAATTTAGTAAGGCCCAAATTACAGTGTCCAGTATGATAGCTATATTTGCAAATATGGAGATAATAAGATGGCTATATGAAATTTGGAACATGCCTGAGCAAATAATATTAACAAAGAACAAAACTTTATCATCCAAGCTTAGAGCAAGTAACTTTCAGATATTTTCTAGAAAATGTATTTAGCATGTCTGCAAATTTTATATTGATTTACAAAATTTTCAGAATCAGCATTCAAGAATTCTGTATTTTGGTACATAATTTCAGTCCTCTCAATACTTGACTCTTAGGCTCATGTAATAGCAAGAGTTCTTGTATGACTGAACTGATTATAGCTCTGTTCATTACTAGCTTTTTGAAAATCTTAGGCAAACCTCTTAACCACTCTGCCTCAGTTTCTTTCCTTTGTGAAATGAACAATAATAATTCCTATCCGTAAAGTTAGGGTGAGGATAAAACAAAATCTACAAAACTATTTGAAAAAGAATTAAGAGAAAAGAAACAAAGTATTATTTTCACACATAAACCATTTGTTAGGGTGAGGATTAAGATTCACTCAAAGCCATCTCAGCCCATGGTGTGGTGCAGCTGGGAACATGACTGCATAAATATATCACCCATTACCATTTCTTTTTCTTCCTTTATCTCTTAACAAAATATAGCTGGCTTTTCTGGCTTCTTCCATAGCTTCTTTGGTAATCATCATATTCCAAGTCCTTTTACTGACACACTGACACATTCTTCTCCTAACATTCTTTTCAGAGACACCCTTGTTTATCCCTTAAGTTTTCTTGCACTTGATATAACCATGTCTTCCTGGTCTCTGATGCTGATCACTGCACTCTGATAAGTAAAATGACAAGAATACCTTCCATAAATTAAAAAAAAATGGGGTTCACTGTTAACTGATTTCACATTGAGAAAAGTTATTCTGATGTTTTCAAAATTGCTTAGTTCTATTTCAAAATTCAAAACCAGCATAATTTTAAGTTAGCTGAATAGGGCATCTGGATATGTAGGCATATTTATTTTTGAAAAGGGTTAAGGGCTTGATAACAGAGAAGGCAGAGTTCCTTTCTCAAATCTTAAGCAATAAATCCTTCACAATAATTTATGATAAGAACCTTAACAAGGGCAGTGACCACAGGAAGAAAGAGAAGATATGACAGGCAAAAAAAGTCCTATGGAAAATGGAGTCAACAATACTGATTGCAACTGTAAAAATTGTTGACTCCATTTTCCATAGGACTTATTTTGCCTGTCATATCTTCTCTTTCTTCCTGTGGTCACTGCCCTTGTTAAGGTTCTTATCATAAATAATTGTGGAGGATTTATCAGAGGATGGGAAAGCCAGATGTTTCCTAGATAAATAATTCAATAGTGATGTTGTCAACCGTGTAGAGAATGCTGACCCCTCAGCATCTAAGCTAGTAAACCATGGCTGTCCTTCAGATACCAGTCTCTCTCTAGAACCTCCACACGTTTGTATTTGCTGGGCCCTTTTGTAGTACGTATTACTTTTCTCTCTCCTTTTCTCCTTAGAAATCTTTTTCATAGTGATGTCGGAAGTTTTCATCTCTTTTAGGAAACTTTTTTGAACCATCCAGCAGCTACAGATTCCCTTCTGTTGCTTCTTGACCTGCTGCTTCTCATACTCCTGTGGTAGTACCTGTACTTTGTATTATAATTGTTTGCAAGTTCATCTCCTGGTCCTCAAGGACAGGGCTGTGCTTTGCACATCTTAATGCCCTCAGCACAGCAAACAATTCCAGGCATGTGATATAGAGTCTACAGATTCTATAAATGTATACCAAAAACATGAATGGTAGGATAATGAGTTAGGCTTGTTTTCTTGAGCATGAATGGAGAGATACTAATTATGTAGTTAAAAACATGAATCAGGAACACAAGGGGAAAGGATATTGAGACAGGCACACAGATATGAATGTGGGATTGATTTAGGTCACTGAGAAAGAATGGGTGTCAGAAAAAAATAAAGATGACTACAGTCGTCTTACAGAAACCAAGAGGAGAAAATGTGCCAGATGGAGGAAGTTGTTAATAGTGTCAAGCAAAGCTGCTTCCTTCTTTATAAAATGTGAAATATAACACTTAATACACAGGAATATGTTGAGAACTAGATTGGATAATATATGGAAAATGCTTAAAACAATGGCAGGAACAAAATGGTTACGAATAATCGTTTCAAAATAAAATACAATAATAATTGAAATGACAAAACTAGATTTGGCAATTAGGAAGTAAGTATATGGTAATGACCACCATAGGAACAGCCTCGTTAGAAAGGAAGGGGCAGAAGCTTAATTTCTGTGTGGTGAGCAATAAAAATGGAATGGAAAAATAAAACAGCAAGTGGATACTTTCCACTTAAAAACTACATTGATGAAGGACAGGAGAGAGCTTGGGAGCTTCTGGAGCAGACAATATTGTGTAAGAAATGTTAGGTTGTAGAAAATGAGACTTTTGAGCACGTATATAGCAGAAGAGAACGAACCAATAGAGAGGAAGAAATATTAGATCAGGGGAGGACAGAAAAGAAGGAGCTATGGAGGGGTCCACACAGCTTGGCATTCATGGAAAATTAAGGGAGGTTATGGGGGTTCTCCCTTTTCCACAGGATGGGAGATGAGGTTTCCTGATAAACGAAGGGCTTAAGAGTAGTTCAGAAGTTTAAGAGAAGTCATGAATATGTTGAGTAGTCATGAGAATGAGAACGGAAACTGAAAAGTGAGAATGGAAGAAAAAGAGAGAAATTATTAAACTGCATTTGTGACTGTCAGTCCTTGCCTGCCTTGGTTTTACCCATCTGACCACAAAAACTGCCTGCTACCCACAAGGTTAGTCCCTCATCACTGAGAGTTCCTTTTTTCCTACCGGGGAATAGAGGTGAGTCCAGAGATGAGCTGTTGTTGCCCAGAGCCAAAATCAGCAATGGGCAGAATGCTGGGCACTGAAAGAATTAATCCATTGCTGCCCACAGAAATGAGCCAAGTGGAAACATTTCCAGTGGGTCAAACAAAATCAAGGTTAACATTACCCGGATTCAAAGCACGGAATTAAAAAAAAAAACTTTAAGGTCATTTTAATTTAAATGTTATAACCTGGTATCTTGAATATGAAGTTCCAGGCCTCCAGAAGGTGATACAAGAAATCAACATGAAGGCATCAAAAAATCATTTCTAGCCATAATTATGGGAAAGTAATTTTCATGTCTTTTGCTGCTTTCAAATCATTTTAGTTTTCAGCAAAAGCTCTGCCACCAGCTCTTCTGCCTCCTTTCCACAATAACTTTCTCATGCTCCCACTACACCCCATCCAACCAACTTCAACCAGGGAAGATTAAGGAAGAGTCTTTCTCTAAGTCTCTCTCTCTCTCTCTTTTTTTTGTTTGTTTTTTCAAGTTTCCAATGTCAGTAGTACCTAACTAATTAAATTCAAGATAAGGTTTTCGAGAAATTCTTAAGAATGGATGAAATAAGGTAGGTTTATAAGGAGACTGTGACCTGTGCAAGGAGTAATCTCCCGATCCAGACATTCAAAGGGCCCAGGGTTCCTTCTCAGGTGCATCCAGACATTGGTTCACCACCACAGGCCCAGGAACTTAGCCCACTTCCCTCTCCTTTCTGGGGGACCAGTACCCTCTCTATGACTTGGATTTCTGGGCCATCCCCCTCATAACTGGATATAAAACAGGTCACATTCTTTTCAACTCTTCCCACCTTCATCCCTTCTACCCACTTTCCTCATCCTTTCTTTGCTACCACTAAAGACTCACACCAGATATACTTACATTTAAGTGTCGTACTGCTTAACATTAAGAGGCAAATAAACAGGAGGTGATCAACATAATTAATCAGGGGGTGACACATTTTAAGGTATCTCACAAAGTTCTTACAATGTGTATCCCTGCTCTGTAATTCATGACTCATGGGTTGAGGTACTAAGTGGAAGCTTTTGGGCTACAGCTCTGTGCTTTGGCTCTCTCAAGCCTACGTAGATGCCTAAAATCACCCAACTAGAGTGCAGAGCAAGGCCTTGATATCAGGTCTGCCAGGCCCCAAAGCCAATTTCATAACAGTTTTGCTATTTTGGTCCAAAGTACAGATTGAAGACCTGCCAAGCTATATGAGCTTCATTTACCTGATAAGCATTATCTAAATTTATCTGACAGTTTTTATTCTTGAGGATGGAATGTTATCATAACTTTCACATATTTTTCTTCTCCAGATTATTTGTTAAAATGGTTATTAGAAATCCAACTATATCCTGGTGTTGGTCTCCTAATAACCTTCACAGTAAAGTGCCTCTGACCTTACATGTTGAAGGTTGACCTTCCAGTGTCAAGGCATCTTGGTTCTAGAAAACCATAAAACACTGCCACGGGCCCTCACTTCTCTTTGGTCCAACTAAGTGACCCATCTGTATGAAAATACACAAGTGGGCAGGGGTAGGGAGAGACTGAAAGCTGTTCTATCTTTCCCATACTCAGAAGAACACTGGGTTGGCTTTATGCATTAGTTTAATATTTGCTACTGTAATAAATTACACAAATGTCGAATCTTAAAAGAATACAAATTATCTGACAGTTCTCTAGGTTAGAAGTCCAACAAGAATCTCATTGGACTAAAATCAACATGGTGGCAGGGCCAGGTTCCTTTCTGGAGTCTCTGCCTCTTTCCTCCACTTCTAAGAACTCTTGTGATAACATTGGACCACCAGGATAATCCAGAATAATCTCTTTAAAGGCCAGCTGATTAGCAACTTTAATTCCATCTGCAACCTTAAATCTCCTTTGCCATACAAGCTAACATAGGTAGAGCTTCTGGGAATTAAGTCACAAACATCTTTGGAGGCTATTATTCTGCTTACCACACTCTCGTTTAGGACTCACACATGAAGAATAAGGCCCATCATTCGAGAAGGAGCAAAGGCAATATGAGGCTGTCTCCAAAAGGGAGAATTCTTGGAGCAGAAGCTTGAAGCCAGAGCATCTCTACTCTCCCCTTCCCATCCCTCCTCCTCTCATGTAAGACTGTAAGGTGATATTTTAGCCAAGAGTATTCTTATAGAGGCAGAAACCCAGAGAAAAGAAAGGATGTCATTCAGTTGGAGGCAGGTAGAGTTGCGAGTAGCTACTTGAAACCAGGGCAGATCATTTAGAGAGCTAATCTTTCTCACCAGTTAATAGTCGTTGCTATTTATCTTTCAGGGTCTTGTAGAGATCCAGTGAGATAGTGGATGCAAAGTGATTAGCATACTGCCTTATCCCTTTCTGGACTGCCCCATTTGTGTAGGTTTGTTATTGGTTTCAGACCTGTCCAAGGACAATCAATCAATCAATCAATAAAAGATGTTTCTGTAGTATTTGTTTCCCAGAATTTTAGTGATGGAAAAGAGAGAGCAGGATTTAAATCCCTGGTTCATAGGCAATAAACTATAAAAATTGTTAATTGATTACATTGACTCAGGACTTATTTATTTGGGCATCTTTATTGACATTTGAGAGGATACCAAAAAGAAAAAAAGTTTTTCTATACACTTAAAGAAAGTTCCCTGGCAAAACAAATGTGCATAATTTTTAGGAAAGGCTGCATGTCATGAAAACAGGTGTTTAATCATAATTCTTACTGGCATGCATCTAAAATTAAATCATGCAGAGTTAGTAATGTTAAAAACCATAATATTCTTCAATTATTATAATAATATGTTACCTTAAGCAAATGTGCTACAAGTTCCAAAGCACATCAATTTACATTAGTTCACCTTAAATGCAGGTATAGTTCTTGCCCCAACATCATTTCCAGTTGGCTCCTAAATTGGTTTATTTATGCTACTTAGCCCTTGGAATTAATCAACCATTCTGTCTTGAATTTACCTAAACAAATAGAGCATTCCTGATATAATTAGTCCAGATAGTATGGAGTAATATGGGATTTAACATGAAAAATACATATTTTCCTAGGAAATGTCAGACTTTTCAGAATACACCTTCCACCCCTCCTCATTTAACATTTTATGATATATTCTACAGGCCAGGCATGGTAGCTCATGCCTGTAATCCCAGCACTTTGGGAGGCTGAGGCAGGCAGATCACTTGAGGTCAGGAGTTCCAAACCAGCCTGGCCAATGTGGTGAAACCCCGTCTCTACTAAAAATAGAAAAATGAGCCAGGCATAGTGGCTTATGCCTGTAACCCCAGCTACTGGGGAGGCTGAGGAAAGAGCATCACTTGAATCCAGGAGGCGGAGGTTGCAGTAACCTGAGATCGTGCAGTTGCACTCCAGCCTGGGTGACAGAGTGAGACTCTGTCTCAAAAATATATATAATAATAAATGCTACAATTCCTAATTCGATAAAAGTTCTACACAACATCTGTGCTCACAGACTTAGAATTTTTGAAGGCAGGGTAAGAATTTGCTGTGATATTGCTAACTCCACTTGCTAGAATAGGAATCCTCTAACAGGGACTTTATAGACAATGAACCATAAGGGACATTGGCTCTGCTGAACCAGCTTACCACTGACTGTGACTGCCTCTTTCAGCATGGAGCTGATGGAACAGACTCCTCTCTGTGAGTCACAGTTGAGCTGAGCTGGACTCGGATCCTATGACCAACCTGTAACATGAGTTCAGCTTCTTTTCCCCTAACCCAAGAACAGTCAGTATGATGCTGCAGCTCTCTTACTCTCCATCATTAATGCTCTGTATATATTCACAAAATACACACATGGAATCTGTGTCACACACATTTTTCCTGTATGAGGAAAAATGACTGGATGTGAGGAAGACAGATGGAGTGGGAATGAGGAACCAAGGTTTCCTGCTTCTTGTTGAATCTGAGCTCTTCTTTGAGTTGTACCAGTGTAAGGAATATTTTAAATCCATTTTGTCAGAAAGTATTCACTCTGTACTCAGAAGGAATATCTCAGAATGCCACTGTCTAACAGCGTCATACCCGGTCTTACAAGGGTGAAGTCTAGACAATCATACATTACAATTTAAAGGATTTAAATAATCACTTAAAATAATGTTTCACAAATGGCCAACATGAATGCTAAGTTTACTAGCAAACTAGACATCTTATTTTTTAAATTACCTTAACATTTAAAATTCTGAATAGCTTATACAAAAGACACTTAGACTACTGGATAATGTTGCTAATTGTGTCTCTTGTCCTGTTGCAATAGCTGAATTCTTACAAATACTATGTCTAAGTTATGAGCACATTACAAACATGCATACACACATGTGAATGTGCACATACACGGTTTTTCGTAATGGCATTTCCCTCAGCCATTAGTTTGTCATATGGACCAAAGTATTCAATTTCACATGAAGTGGGATCTACAGGTAACTATTCAGAAATTTTCTCATCAGTCCCTAGTATAATCTCCTTAAACAACATAAAAGATTACACCTAAAATACATTTATTTTTAGAATAACTATTTACCTCTAGACCGTTCAGATGTAGCCAGTAACAATGTTTTTCTATCTCCCCTATTTAAACTTACTTGATAATGGAGTGTCATACTATAGTGTTGTTTTTAATTTTTTTAATTAAAGTGAGAACTCTATTGTAGAGAGTTTTCTAAAAACACTTAAAGTCAATAAGCTGATACATATTTTCCCAGGATCTGCTCTGAAAATGTATAACAAACAGGAAAGTCAGCCTGAGAGACATAAACAAGTCACCAGCCTCACCCAGTGACCCTTGACAGGGCCAAGAATGGACCTCCGGCTCTGGGGTCCAGTCCTGCTCACCACTTGGTGCTGCTGCCCTCTGCTCTTTTGTTTCTAATAAAGTTTAAGACACTTCCTGTCTAAATCACATGTGGTTATAGTTCCATGATCCCCATAGTAACACTGAAAGAGAAAAGAAAGTGAGTAGACTCTGCTAAAAGTCAACCAGGATGTTAGAAATTCCTCTCCACTGACTAATCATCTTTCTGCTATTGAACCTTCCTGTCTTTAAGAAATCCTATTTGCGTCACACCATAAGTGAAATTCCAGACAGTTAGGCCTTTCACAATGAAACAAAAAAAAAAACTTAGAAGGGGCAGAAGGCATTCATGTGAAAGTCTGCTGTTTATCAGTGTAATTCTGGAGTTGTGATTTTTTTGGTCAAATTCCCTGGCACCTAAATAGGCAATTTGAGAATAGCATTTGTTCTCACCAAACTACTATTTGCACACACAATCTTTGTACAAGGTATTTTTTAAAACTGTCTAAATCTAAGTTTGTTGAATAAAATATTGTTTGAAGTTGATAGAATTTCAGCTGAAGGCTGATTATCATTTTGTTACATTGGAAACTTTTTTCGTAACAGTTTTATTGTGATAAAGTTCATATACCATAAAATGTAGCCATTTAATGTGTACAATTCAATTGTTTTAGTATATTCACAGAATTGTGCAACTGTTACCACAATCAGTTTCAGCAAATTCTAATTACCCGAAAAGAAAACCTTGTACCCTTTAGCTATCACTCCACAATTGCCTCACAACAATCAACAACCTCCCCTGCCTCCACTGTAAACAATCACTCATCTACTTTCTGTCTCTAAAAAGTTGCCCCTCTGGACGTTTCACATAAATAGACTAGTATAATACATGGTCTTTTCTGACTATATTATTTCCTTTTTTAAAATTTTTAAACGCTTTTATTTTAGGTTCAGAGTCCATGTGCAGGTTTGTTATATGGGGAAAATTGTGCCATGGGAGTTTGTTGTACAGATTATTTCATTACCCAGGTACTAAGCCTACTACCCAATAGTAATCTTTTTTCTGTTCATCTCACTCCTCTGATCCTGCACCCTCTGGTATGTCCCAGTGTCTCTTGTTCCATTCTTTGTGTCCATGGGTTCTCATCATTTAGCTGCCACTTATAAGTGAGAACATGTGATATTTGGTTTTTGTTCCCACATTAGTTTGCTAAGGATAATGGCTTCCAGCTCCATTTATGTCCCTGCAGAGGACATGATCTCCTTCATTTTTATGGCTTCAGAGTATTCCATGGTGTATATGTACAACATTTTCTTTATCCAGTCTACCAGTGATGGGCATTTAGGTTGATTCCATGTCTTTGCTATTGTGAATAGTGCTGCAATGAACATACTTATGCATGTGGATCTTTATGACAGAATGATTTCTATTCCTTTGGATATATTCCCAGTAATGGGATAGCTGGATCAATTGGTAGTTCTGTTTTCAGCTTTTCAAGGAATTGCCAACTGCTTTCCATAATGGTTGAACTAATTTACACTCCCACCAACAGTGTATAAGCATTCCCTTTTCTCGACAACCTCTCCAGCATCTGTTATTTTTTATTTTTGATAATAGCCATTCTGACTGGTGTGAGATTCTATCTCATCGTTGTTTTGATTTGCATTTCTCTAATGATCAGTGATATTGAGCTTTTTTCATATGCTTGTTAGCCTTCTGTGTCTTCTTTTGAAAAGTGTCTGTTCTTGTTCTTTGCCCGCTTTCTAATGGGGTTGATTTTTTTCTTGTAAATTTAATTTCCCTATTGATGCTGGACATTAGACTTGTCAGATGCGTAGTTTGCAGATATTTTCTTCCACTCTGTAGATTGACTGTTTACTCAGTTGATAGTTTCTTTTGCTGTGCAGAAGCTCTTTAGTTTAACTAGATCCCATTTATCAATTTTTGCTTTTGTTGCAATTGTTTTGGCGTCTTTGTCATGAAATCTATGTCCATTGCCGACTTATTTCTATGCTTTCTATTCTGTTCCATTGGTCTGTGTGTCTGTGTTTGTACCTGTACCATGCAGCTTTAGTTACCGTAGCCCTGTAGTACAGATTGAAGTCAGGTAGCGTGATGCCTCTGATTTGTTCTTTTTTATTAGTTGCCATTCTGGACATTTGCCTTGGCTATTCTGGCTCTTTTTTTGGTTCTATATGAATTTAAAAATATTTTTTCTAGTTCTGTGAAGAATGTCATTGGTAGTTTGATAAGAGTACCACTGAACCTGTAAGTTGCTTTGGATAGTATGGCCATTTTAATGATATTGATTCTTCTGATCCATAAGCATGAAATGTTTTTCTATTTGTTTGTGTCATCTCTGATTTATTTGATCAGTGTTTTGTAATTCTTATTTTAGAGATCTTTCACCTTCCTGGTTAACTGTATTCCTAGGTATTGGCAGTTGGGAATGGGATTGCATTCCTGATTTGGCTCTCTGCTTAACTGTTAGTGTGTAGGAATGCTAGTGATTTTTTTACATTGATTTTGCATCCCAAAACTTTGCTGAAGTTGTTTATAAACTCAAGGAGCTTTTGGGCAGAGATTATGGGGTATTCTACATACAGGCTCATATCGTCTGCAAACAGGGATAGTTTGACTTCCTCTCTTCCTATATGGATGGGCTTTCCTTGTCTTGCCTGATTGCTCTGGCCAGGACTTCCAATACTATGTTGAATAGGAATGGTGAGGGAGGGCATCCTTGTCTTGTGCCAATTTTCAAGGAGAATGCTTCCAGCTTTAGCCCATTCAGTGTGATGTTAGCTGTGGTTTTGTCACAGACAGCTCTTATTATTTTGAGATATGTTCCTTCTGTACCTAGTTTGTTGAGAGTTTTTAACATGGAGAGATGTTGAATTTTATCAAAACCCTTTCCAGCATCTATTGAGATGATCATGTGGTTTTTGTCTTTAGTTTTGTTTAGATGATGAATCATGTTTATTGATTTGTATATGTTGAACCAGCCTTGCATCCCAGAGGTAAAGCCTATTTGATCATGATAGATTCACTTTTGATGTGCTGCTGGATTTAGTTTGCTAGTATTTTGTTGATAATTTTTGCATCAATGTTTACCAAGGATACTAATCTGAAGTTTTCATTTTTCGTTGTGTCTCTGCCAGGTTTTGGTAACATGATGATGCTAGCCTCATACATTTAGTTGTGGAGGACTCCCTCCTTAATTTTTTGTGATAGTTTCAGTAGAAATGGTACGAGCTCTTTTTTGTACATCTGGTAGAATTTGACTGTGAATCCTTCTGGTCCTGGGCCTTTTTTGTTGGTAGACTATTTATTACTGATTCTATTTCAGAACTCATTATTGGTCTGCTCAGGGATTCAATTGCTCCCTGGTTCAGTCTTGGGAGAGTGTATGTTTCCAGGAGCTTGTTCATTTCTTCTAGATTTTCTGGTTTGTGTGCATAGAAGTGTTCATTATATTCTCTGATGGTTACTTGTATTTCTGTGGGGTCAGTGGTAATATCCCCTTTGTCATTTCTAATTGTGTTTATTTTTATCCTTTCTCTTTTCTTTTTCTTTTTTTTTCAAAAACCCAACTCTTGGATTTGTTGATCTTTTGAATGGTTCTTCATGTCTCGGTCTCCTTCAGTTCAACTGATTTTGGTTATTTTTTTGTCTTCTGTTAGCTTTGGGGTTGATTTGTTCTTGATTCTGTAGTTCTTTTAGTTGTGATGTTAGGTTGTTAAATTGATATCTTTCTAACTTTTTGACGTGGGCATTTAGTGCTATAAATTTCCCTCTTAACACTGTCTTAGCTGTGTCCCAGAGATTCTGGTATGTTGTGTCTTTGTTCTCATTAGTTTCAAAGAACTTTGTGATTTCTGCCTTAATTTCATTACTTACCCAAAAGCCATTCAGGAGCAGGTTGTTTAATTTCCATTTAATTGCATGGTTTGGGGCAATTTTCTTAATCTTGATTTCCAGTTTTATTGTGCTATCATCTGAGAGAGTGATTGTAATGATTTCAGGTTTTCTACATTTGCTGAGATTATTTTATGTCCAGCTGTGTGGTCGATTTTAGAGTATGTGTCATGTGGTAATGAGAAGAACGTATATTCTGTTGTTTTTGGGTGGAAAGTTTTGTAGATGTCTATCAGGTCCATTTGGTTCAGTGCTGAGTTTGGGTCCTGAATATCTTTGTTAATATTCTGCTTCAGTGATCTGTCTAGTATTGTCAATAAGGTGTTAAAGTCTCCCACTATTATTGTGTGGGAGTCTAAGTCTCTTTGAAGGTCTCTAAAAACTTGCTTTATGAATCTGGGTATTCCTGTGTTGGGTGCATATATATTCAGGATAGTTAGGTATTCTTGTTGAATTGAGTCCTTTACCATTATGTAGGCCCTTCTTTGTCTTTTTTTATCTTTGTTAGTTTGAAATCTATTTTATCTGAAATTAGGATTGCAACACATGCTTTTTTTCTGTTTTCCATTTGCTTTTTCTCCATTCATTTATTTTGAGCCTATGGGCGTCACTGCATGTAAGATGGGTCTCTTGAAGGCAGTATACCATTAGTTCTTGCTACTTTATCCAGCTTGTCACTCTGTGCCTTTTAATTAGGGCATTTATCCTGTATTCAAGGTTAGTATTGATGTGTGTGAATATGATCCTGTCATGGTGTTGTTAGCTGGTTCTTATGCAGGCTTGTTCGTGTGGTTGCTTTATAGTGTCACTGGTCCGTGTATTTAAGTTTGTTTTTGTAGTGGCTGGTAATGGTCTTTCCTTTTCATATTTAGGGCTTCTTTCAGGAGCTCTTAGATGGCAGGTCTGGTGGTAATGAATTCTCTCAGCATATTTTTGTCTAAAAAGGATCTTTTTTCTTTATCACTTATGAAGCTTAGTTTGGACGGACATGAAATTCTTGGGTGGAATTTCTTTTCTTTAATAATGTTGAATATAGGCCCCCAATCTCTTCTGGCTTGTATAGTTTCTGCTGAGCCATCTGCTGTTAGTCTGATGAGCTTCCCTTTGTAGGTGACCTGTCCTTTCTCTGTAGCTGCCTTTAACAATTTCTCTTTCATTTCATCCTGGGAGAATCTGATGATTATGTGTCTTGGGGATGATCTTCTTGTGAAGCATTTTGCAAGGATTCTCTGCGTTTCCTGAATTTGAATGTTGACCTCTCTTGTTACGTCAGAGAAGTTCTCATGGATGATATTTTGAAATGTATTTTCCAAGTTTCTTTCATTCTCCCCATCTCTTTTAGGGATGCCAATGAGTCATAGATTAAGTCTTTTTACATAATCCCATATTTCATAGAGGTTTTCTTTCCTTTTTATTCTTTTTTCTTTATTCTTTTCTGACTGTTGTATTTCAGAAAGTTAGTCTTCAGGCTCTGAGGTTCTTTCCTCAGCTTGGTCTACTCTGTTGTTAATGCTTGTGATCGCATTATGAAATTATTGTAGTGTATTTTTCAGCTCTATCAAGTCAGTTACATTCTCTTCTATACTGTCAGCTCCATCAAGTCAGTTACATTCTTTTCTATACTGTCAGTTCCTGTATCTTTTTATTGTGATTCTTAGCTTTCTTAGATTTATTTTCAACATTCTCCTGGATCTCAATGATCTTTGTTCTTATCCATGTTCTGGATTTTATTTCTGTCATTCCAACCATCTCAGCCTGGTTAAGAACTCTTGCTGGAGAACTAGTGCTGTCATTTGGAGGAAAGAAGACATTCTGGGCTTTTGAGTTGTCAGAGATGTTGCACTGGCACTGCTTCTTTCCTCATCTTTGTGGGCTAACGTTCCTTCAGTCTTAAATTGCTGTCCTTTGGATGAGTTTTTTTTTTCTTTTATTCTATTTGATGACCTTGGAAGTTTGATTGTGGTACGAGTTGGGTTTAGTTGACTGGCTTCATTTCTCCTTCATTTCTCAAGGATTTTAGGGGGCCAAGGCTCAGCTCAGGTCTCCTGGATTGCATGCTCTAACTCTAGGGGACTGATATTGGGCCCCTGTTTTGCTCTCTGGCTCCTTAAGGTTAGGAACCTGCTATGCTAGAAGGACCGAGGTGCTCCCAGACTGCTGGTCAAAACACTCTGAAGGGTGATGCCAGACAAAGTACATCATAGGGTGATGACAGTGGGGTACATCCTTGCTTGCACATGCCAAGAGCAACTGCAGCATGGCAAGGTGCATGCTCATCAGCTGTGGTAGGGTGCTAGCAGGTGCCAGGGTGCTGGCCTCCATGCAGGTTTTCACAACAGCAGCTGGCATTGATAACATAGCCTCCACAGACTACCAGGATTGGATGAGACCTTAATGGCCATTTCCTACTCAATGTGTTACCATAGAAAAAAAATCTAATGGGGGATTATAAAGAATGGTAGGTTTGTGAGTGTGAGCACAGAGCAGTCACTCTGGGTCCTAATTTCATCACACATGAAGTACTGGATCTGAATTGGATAAGAAACTTCATTTAGATCTTTTATTCTCTTCTACCTATTCCTTACAAGGAAAGCTCTATGAAGCATTAAGGCATATTCTAATTTCCCAAATAAAATAAAAGTTCTTTGAGAACTTTGAGAATCCTTTTGAGTCACAGACTTTTCATTTAGAAAAAGTCTTTCAAGAAGCATTAAATACCTACTAAGTGTCAAATTTTGTATAAGATCTTGAGGCAGAAAAATAAATGAATTCTAGTTCTTTTCCTCAAGAGTATCCAAACCATTTATCATGAATCCATCATTATAAGTGACAGGTGTCTATACAGAGGTAATAATGCTAAGAGGGGATATCATTTATTGATCATTTACTATGCACCAGGAATTGTGCTAAGTGCCTTATACATTTTATAATTTAAGTCTCATAACAGTATAAGGTAGACATTTATTATTATTCTCAGGGGTCAGGTAACTTGTCAAAGATCAAAGGTGGTCTGGTTCTAATTTCAGAGGAAACAAAATAGGGAAAATACAATTATATTTGTGGGAGGGTGGGGGTAGCCTTTTAATACATTTCGTCTTTTCCTCTCCTAAGGCCTTCTGGAGGAACTACACTGGAAGTATATAATAAGGATAGATATATGATAATGGTATTCTACTATTGTGTAAAATTTCCATGGCAGGGAACAGAAAACACTTAAGCTGCCATAAGTAGAAAAGAATTTAATACAGGCAACCTAATATAGAAAATTCAAAAATAAATTAGTACAGGAAATTAGGTGTTTAGAAAATTGCTACAAGAACTATAGGAGCAGGCTCTGGGCTGGGCCTCCAGGAATGACTATAACAACCACACAGCTGAACTGGCCTGCCAAGGGAAAGTGACTTCTGGGAATTTAGCCAACTCCTGACTCAAGGATCACCCTTGCCTTTGCTGTGATTTCAGACCAGAAGCCCACCGCTGCCACTATGGGCTGCAGAGTCATGCAAATTCTCCCAGATTTGCACATGAAAAATGAATGTCTTACACCCTGTGGCTCAGCTCACTCCTCAGTTAACTCAGTTCTGAATGCAAGTGTCATTTGAGAATTTCTGATGGGCAAGACATAAATCACATCTAGAATCCTAGGATGAAACCCATCTGGAATTTTTTTTTCATCCTCTGCCTTGGAAGGAGATTAAAACAGATGTTTAAAAAGTCAATCCAGCATATCCACTATAACCAAGAATTCCTGGGCAAACTCCACAGTATTTCACTCTAACATTTTGAAAGTCCTTGTGGTTTCCTCGACCTTTCCAGTAGGATCTTCCCATATTTCAAAAAGCATTTATTTTTAAACATGTGCCTCAACATAATTTCAATTTTTTGTTCTTGCAGAAGGCAAGAAATAACTAAGATCAGAGCAGAACTGAAGGAGATAGAGACACAAAAAACCCTTCAAAAAAATCAATGAATCCAGGAGCTGGTTTTTTGAAAAGATCAACAAAATTGAGAGACTGCTAGCAAGACTAATAAGGAAGAAAAGAGAGAAGAATCAAATAGATGCAATAAAAAATGAGCAAGGGGATATCACCACCAATCCCACAGAAATACAAACTACCATCAGAGAATACTATAAACACCTCTATGCAAATAAACTAGAAAATCTAGAAGAAATGGATAAATTCCTGGACACATACACCCTCCCAAGACTAAACTAGGAAGAAGTTGAATCCCTGAATAGACCAATGACAGGCTCTTAAATTAAGGCAATAATTAATTAGCCTACCAACCACAAAAAGTCCAGGACCAGATGGATTCACAGCTGAATTCTACCAGAGGTACAAAGAGGAGCTGGTACCATTCCTTCTGAAACTATTCCAATTAATAGAAAAAGAGGGAATCCTCCCTAACTCATTTTATGAGGTCAGCATCATCCTGATACCAAAGCCAGGCAGAGACACCACAAAAAAAGAGATTTTAGACCAATATCCCTGATGAACATCAGTGAAAAAATCCTTAATAAAATACTGGCGAACAGAATCCAGCAGCACATCAAAAAGCTTATCCACCACGATCAAGTGGGCTTCATCCCTGGGATGCAAGGCTGGTTCAACATATGCAAATCAATAAATGTAATCCATCATATAAACAGAACCAAAGACAAAAACCACATGATTATCTCAATAGATGCAGAAAAGGCCTTTGACAAAATTCAACAACTCTTCATGCTGAAAACTCTCAATAAACTAGGTATTAATGAGATGTATCTCAAAAATACTAAGAGCTGTTTATGATGAACCCACGGCCAATATCATACTGAATGGGCAAAAACGGGAAGCATTCCCTTTGAAAACTGGCACAAGACAGGGATGCCCTCTCTCACCACTCCTATTCAAAATAGTGTTGGAATTTCTGGCCAGGATAATCAGTCAGGAGAAAGAAATAAAGGGTATTCAATTAGGAAAAGAGGAAGTCAAATTGTCCCTGTTTGCAGATGACATGATTGTATATTTAGAAAACCCCATCGTCTCAGCCTAATATCTCCTTAAACTGGTAAGCAACTTCAGCAAAGTCTCAGGATACAAAATCAATGTGCAAAAATCACAAGCATTCCTATACACCAATAACAGACAAACAGAGAGCCAAATCATGAGTGAATTCCCATTCACAATTGCTTCAAAGAGAATAAAATACCTAGGAATCCAACTTACAAGGGATGTGAAGGACCTCTTCAAGGAGAACTACAAATCACTGCTGAACGAAATAAAAGAGGACACAAACAAATGGAAGAACATTCCACGCTCATGGATAGGAAGAATCAATATCGTGAAAACGGCCTTACTGCCCAAGGTAATTTATAGATTCAATGCCATCCCCATCAAGCTACCAATTACTTTCTTCACACAATTGGAAAAAACTACTTTAAACTTCATATGGAACCAAAAAAGAGACTGCATTGCCAAGACAATCCTAAGCCAAAAGAACAAAGCTGGAGGCATCACGCTACCTGACTTCAAACTATACTGCAAGGCTACAGTAACCAAAACAGCATGGTACTGGTACCACAACAGAGATATAGACCAATGGAACAGAACAGAGCCCTCAGAAATAATACCATACATCTACAACCATCTGATCTTTGACAAATCTGACAAAAACAAGCAATGGGGAAAGGATTCCCTATTTAATAAATGGTGCTGGGAAAACTGGCTAGCCATATGTAGAGGGCTGAAACTGGATCCCTTCCTTAGACATTATACAAAAATTAATTTAAGATGGATTAAAGAATTAAATGTTAGACCTAAAACCATAAAAACCTTAAAAGAAAACCTAGGCAATACCATTCAGGACATAGGCATGGACAAGGACTTCATGACTAAAACACCAAAAGCAATAGTAACAAAAGCCAAAATTGACAAATGGGATCTAATTAAACTAAAAAGCTTCTGAACAGCAAAAGAAACTATCATCAGAGTGAACAGACAACCTACAGAATGGGAGAAAATTTTTACAATCTACCCATCTGATGAACGGCTAATATCCAGAATCTACAATGAACTCAAACAAATTTACAAGAAAAAAACAAACAACCCCATCAAAAAGTGGGTGAAGGATATGAACAGACACTTCTCAAAAGAAGACATTTATGCAGCCAAAAAACACATGAAAAAATGCTCATCATCACTGGCCATCAGAGAAATGCAAATCAAAACCACAATGAGATACCATCTCACACCAGTTAGAATGGCAATCATTAAAAAGTCAGGAAACAACAGATGCTGAAGAGGATGTGGAGAAATCGGAACACTTTTACACTGTTGGTGGGACTGTAAACTAGTTCAACCATTGTGGAAGACAATGTGGCGATTCCTCAAGGATCTAGAACTAGAAATACCATTTGACCCAGCCATCCCATTACTGGGTATATACTCAAAGGTATATACTATATATACTATGTGTGTGTATATATATATACACACACATACAGTGTATATATATATATACATACAGTATATATATACTGTATATATATACTATATATACTGTATATATATACTATATATATACTGTATATATATACTATATATATACTGTATATATATACTATATATATACTGTATATATATACTATATATATACTATATATATACTATATATACTATATATATACTATATATATACTATATATATACTATATATACTATATATATACTGTATATATATACTATATATACATACTATATATATACTGTATATATATACTATATATACATATATACTATATATACATATATACTATATATACTGTATATATATACAGTATATATATACAGTATATATACTATATGTATATACATATACTATATGTATATATACACATATAGTATATATAGTATATATATACACAGTATATATGTGTATATATGTATATATAGTATATATATACTATATGTGTATATATAGTATATATGTACATATAGTATATATATACCATATGTATATATAGTGTATATGTATATATAGTGTATACAGTATATATAGTATATATGATATATATACAGTATATATAGTATATATACACTATATATACTATATATACAGTATATATAGTATATATACACTATATATACAATATATACATGATATATATGATATATATACACTATATATAGTATATACACTGCTATAAAGACACATGCACACATATGTTTATTGTGGCACTATTCACAATAGCAAAGACTTGAAACCAACCCAAATGTCCATCAATGATAGACTGGATTAAGAAAATGTGGCACATATGCACCATGGAATACTATGCAGCCATAAAAAAGGATGAGTTCATGTCCTTTGTAGCGACATGGATGTAGCTGGAAACCATCATTCTGAGCAAACTATCACGAGGACAGAAAACCAAACACTGCATGTTCTCACTCATAGGTGGGAACTGAACAATGAGAACACTTGGACACAGGGTGGGGAACATCACACACCGGGGCCTGTGGTGGGGTGGAGGGAAGGGAGAGGGATAGCATTAGGAGAAATACCTAATGTAAATAATGACTTAATGGGTGCAGCACACCAACATGGCACATGTATACATATGTAACAAACCTGCACTTTGTGCACTTGTACCCTAGGACTTAAAGTATAATTAAAAAAAAAATAAAGACTATATTATGTCAGACCTCTCACATTGATAACTGTTTTTATCTAATAAAATAATAAGGCTGCAAATACACTATTTTTTCACAGCCTATTTCTTGTTTTCTAGATTTATAGGGCAATTTTAGGTACTTGTGCTTGGATCCAGAGTCACTATATGCTTCTGATCTTTCCTAGATGCCAGCTACAATCAATCAATCAATCAACCACATAACTCATGTGCCATTTTCACTGGCTTTTTCCTGCACTTATGAACCTCATCTGTCCTCATTGTAAACAGCATTAAGCTGCATAAATACAATTAAGAAGATATGTATCGTCAATCTGTGTGTGTGTGTGTGTGTGTGTATGTGTGTGTGTGTTTAATTTAGCCAATAGCATCTAGTAACAAGAAAGATTTGGAATCCCAATGACAGCAAGAAGATTGGTAAACATAATAGTTTCGTAACACCTGGCTTACATGATCATGAGAAAGCTCCTTATGTCTGCATGATCCACACTTTTGTGTAACAAGAGTTAAATGCTTAGTTTAGATTCTATGTGTCCATAACTGAATTTCACAGGGGACTTTGAACTGGACTATAGCACTGCATTTGAATGGTCTCTTAGAGGAATCTACCTGAGATACAAATTTATCTCTTACACAGCCCCTAAACTTAAGTGTCGTGTATTTTCAGTCTTCCAATTCAATAGGCTACGTATATTATCCAGAATTCTTATAATTTGAAATCCACAAAAGAAAACATAATTTGGAGAACAGTGAAACATGTAAAATTGTTACTAAATTTCATTTCTTTGTTGCATTTTCTGAAGTGTATAAAATAGCCTTTAATAATTACAAAGGCTCCTCTCCTCATTACACTCATTTGGCTTTTTGAGAAACAAAGTACCACATTGAGTTATCACCTTTCCCAGTCATAATTTTCCTATATATCGTTTCAGTTTTTCTAAGAGCTAGTTTTCAGAGTCTAGTCCTATACACTCCATTCCTTGAAAAACTTAGTAAATGTGTTTTATCATCACAAAATCTCTTCCAAGTTATGTCATCTTTATAAAGTTAAGTGTTCCTGACATTAGTTTAATCATTTCAGCTATTTCCTATTTGTAATTCTCCTAGAATGTAGTTATTTTTTAGGATGAATCAATGACTTTTTCTTTCACATAATCATGGTTTTTAGTGGCAAACAACATACATTGTATACTAAACAGCATTGTTTATTTTAAGGAACATTTACATAATACTCACCATATGGATATTGAAAACATGATGGGTAATGTAAGCCTGTTATATTGCTTAAAATATACTCTGAGTATATCTAAAGGAAACATTAAGCCAATTTCTCACAGTTGTTTAAAGTGAAGGAAGAAAAAAAGTCCTTGTTTTGTAATAAACAAATGCCCATATCAGTCTTAGAATTTATATTATTTTGTATCTCCTTTTTCAGATAGCCTAATGTATTTATTGCAACTTAATTAGATACGTTTCCAAAGAGGTATTTTAATTTATAAATTCACTGAATGAGTATTAAAATGTTCATAATTATGCATGTGAACATAGTTCAATAACTTCCTATAGCACATTGTGCATTGCAAAGTTCAGCAGGTTATTTCCACAAGGCCTATATTTCCTTAATCTTCATGGCCTACTTGAACCCTGAAGACATTTTGGACACTTATTTAACACTAAGCATAATTTGCTGAGCATCTACTATGGGTCATACATTATTTGAGGCACTGGAGAATCAGTCAAGAAGGATGAAAATCCTTGCTTCCATGAAGCTATAATTCTAATGGAGAAATACAAATAATTCACAAGATAAGTAAAATATATTGTATTTTAGAAAGTGGCAAGTGTTAGGAATAAAACTAAGATAAGGAATATGAATTATCAGTGAAGGTGGCTGTTATGGACTAAATGTGTTTCCCCCAAATTTATATGCTAAAACCCTGACCCCAAATGTGATGGTATTTGAAGGTGGGGCCTTTGGGAGGTAATTAGGTTTACATGAGGTCATGAAAGTAGTGACCTCATGATGGGAATAGCACCTTTATAAGAAGAGTAAGAGACATGCAGAAGCTCTCCCTTCATGTGCACACACCAAGGAAGGACCATGGGAACTCCTAGCAGGAAGGCAAGCCAGGATGTGAGCCTTCACCAGACACTGATGCTCCGGGCACCTGGATCTTGAACTTCCAGTCTCTAGAAGGGTGACAAGTTAATTCCTGTTGTTTAAGCCACTCAGTCTACAGTATTTTAATATGGTAGCCTGGGCTGACTAAGACAATGCCAAGTTAGAAGTTTTAAACAGGGTAAACAGAAAAGTAAGGATATGAAGGAAGTGAGGAAGGTAGCCATGCAGATACTGGAGAAAGAGCATTCCAGGCAAGAACAACAAGTGCAAAGGCATTGAGGAATAAGAGGATAGAATGGACAAGATAGTAAGAAAGGCAATGGTACATAAGGACAGAGAGGTAAACATGAATGGTCTTGTAACTCATAGCAGGTATTTTGACCATTATTTTGAGTGAGATGGGAAGCATCTCTTCCCATCTCTAAGCAGAGAAAAAGAGAGAGCAGAGAAGAGCAGAGGGCACTAAGCAGAGAAAGAAGAGATATAACCTGGCTTCGATTCTAACTATATATCCTGCTTCTATGTTGAGAACAGATTGCAGTGAGCCAAGGTCAGGAGCAGGGAAACAGTTTAGTGTCTACTACCATGATCTAGGTGTAAAACAGTGGCTTAAGTCAAGCTAATGGTATTTGGGATGGTAAAAAGTAGTGGCATTATGAGTATGTTTTGAAGGTAGAGATGACAAGATTTGCTATCAGACTAGATCTGGCTTATGCAAAAGAAAGATAAATTAAGGATGACACCAAGGTTTTTGGCTTGAGTAACTGAAAGAGTAATCATTAACTAAGAAGGGGAAGAATTCAAATGGAGCTTGTTTTGTGGATGAAATATTGGGAATTAAATTTAGGGCACGTGTTCTAAAAAGGAAAAAGTGATCAAATTCTTTTGTTTTATCAATTAAGATAAAAATTAAGAAATTATATAGTTTGGCTCTCTGTCCCCACCCAAATCTCACCTTGAATTGTAATAATCCTCACATGTCAGGGGCAGAACCAGGTGAAAATAATTAAATCTTGGGGGCAGCTTCCCCACACTGTTCTCATGATAGTGAGTTCTCACGAGATTTGATGGTTTTATAAGGGGCTTCCTCCCTGCACTCATTCTTTCTCCTGCTGCCCTGTGAAGAGGTAACTTCTGCCATGATTACAAGTTTCCTGAGGCCTCCCTAGACATGTGGAACTAACTGCAAGTCAATTAAACCTCTTTTCTTTATAAATTACCCAGTCTTGGGTATTTCTTCATGAGAACAGAATAATACACTGTGATTTTCTAATTCTATTATTTCCTTTGTGGTTATTAGCTGAATTTTTAAAAGAACTTTCCCTCATCCCTGACTTAATCATGGTTCAATTTAAGGTTTTTCAACTTTACCATAGTCTAAAGTGATACACATTCAGTAGAAACTGCAGTTTAAGTATCTATACACGTTCTGTTCTTTAACTTTCATTAGTCAATAAATTAAATGATATATTCAATACTTTATTACAAAATAGTCTTTGTGTTAGATGATTTAGCCCAATTGTAGGCTAGCGTGTTTCAAGTATGTTTAAGATAGGCTAGCTTAAACTATGATGCTTCTTTAGTATGCTAGGTGTACTAAATGCATTTTTGACTTATGACATTTTCAACTCACATGGGTTTATTGGGACATAATCCCATTCCAAGTAGAAGAGCATTTGATTGGTTACACTGAAACAAATTTTTTAAAGGAAAGGCTGGCTTCATTATTTCCTTTTGTCACTTTTTGAGAATAATGAGTCAGTTTCCAACAAGACTCTAATGGTGAACATTGAGGGTGTGTGGTTTCTATATCATTCTGAAGCTGTGGATTTCCATATATTTAATGTGTTTCAATGTATTGCAGTCATTATTTTGTACACAAACTACCTATCTTGGCCTAGTGTAAGCCTCTTCAAATTGACTCTGTCTTTTTCATATATGAACCCAATCGTTTTTGAGAAGTGTCTCATCTTACTGCTCATCTAAAGATCCTAGGCAAGCTCTGTACATTTCTTACCTCTAACCTAGATTCACCCATTATTTTCAAGGAGCTTTGGGTGTGTGTGTGTGAAATATCATTTAAAGATCAGAATCCGGCCACTGAAGATACTCAATCTTCCTGAATTGTCATTGCTGTTAGGGCTTTTTAGGGGACACAGCTAAGGAGCTATGCATTTTTGGAAAGAATAAAGAAAATGTTGACATTTTCCATTTGAGCTAAGATTATAGGGCTTTACAACTTCTTTGATTTCAGACTTGTATTTCTTTTTCACTGAGAATAATCGTTCCTAATGATATTAACACAATTACTTGTTTGCTTGGTTCTATAATATGCTTCAACTAAAACACGTTCAAAATAACAAAACTACCATTACAACTGACAATGTAGTTTATTTTACAATTCATTTTGTCCTTAGGCTCTATCCTACTAAGGACTTGCTGTCAAAGTTCTATGTATTGAAGTTACTTGAAATAATTCTTCTCTATATGGTTATGCAAATACTTTGGCATAGAGTTACATTTATTTGTTAAATTTCTTCTGATTTTTAAAATTATAATTTGTTTTAATACAAAACATTTACCTGGTTAGAAAGCCAAACTATAAAGCCAGGTATATTGGGAAAAAAAACTCTAGATTCCATTTTATCTTCTCAATGCTGTTTTTTCGTACATCTATCTATAGGTAATCATTTATGTTAGGTTTTGGTTTGATCTATTAATTGCTTTACTTTGAAAATATCAATAATGTGTGTGTGTGTGTGTGTGTGTGTCCTCCATACAGAAGACAGCATACTCTATACACTATTTTGAACCATTTACTTTTCACTTAATGGTATATCCTAAATGTCATTTTATATAAATAAGCTGTAATTTTCTCATTTATGTTTATGGCTGCATAGTATATTTTTATATGAATGTCCCATATTTCATTTAACTGATCCCTTGTTGTTCAAAAAATAATGCCATGATAAATAGCCTTATCGATATGCCCTTTTGTATTTTTCTAGTGTATCTTTTAGATATATTTCTAAAAATGGGAATCCTGAGATAAGGATAAAATGGATTTATAATTTTCATAGATATGCCAAATTCCTTTTCATAGGGGTCATATAATTATGCATCATCAGCAGCAATGTATGATTGTTTATTTTTAATAGATCCCTTTATTTTTAATAGTAAACATTTAAAAAGCAAAAAAGCAAAAGCCCACTAAATATTTTATGTCTTCAATTTCAGATTGATTTTAAAAATCCATAATTTTTTGTATGTTGTGTTTTTATTTTTGCTTGTTTCAAGGTATTTTAGGATTTCCTTTTTGATTTCTTCTTTAACTTTAGTTTTTCGGGTATGTGTTATTTAATTTTCATGTATTGGTGGATTTTCCAATTTTCCTTCTATTATTGTTTTCTAGTTTCATAGCACTGTGGTAGAAAGGATACTTGATATAATTCAATCTTTTTGAATTTGTTAAGACTTGTTTCATAACTTAATACATGATGTATACTGGAGAATGTTCCACCTGCACGTGGGAAGATTGTGTATTCTGCTGCTGTTGGATGGAATGTTATGTATATGTCTGTTAGGTCCATTTAGTCTATGGTGTTATTCCAATGTGCCCTTTCCTTGTTGTTTTTCCTGTCTGGATGATCTATCCACTATTGAGAGTAAGGTTACTTGAAAATTTTAAATCCATTAAGACTTATTTGATGACTTCGAATACAGTATAAGTTGGTAATTATTTTGTGTACCTTTGAAAATGTGTATTCTGTTATTATTGAATGATGTTTTCTATAAATGTCAATTAGGGCAAGTTGGTGGATGGCGTTGTCTAAATTTTCTATATCCTTACTGATTTTCTGTCTACTTGTTCTATTGCTTGTTGAGAAAAATGTATTAAATTATCCAACTATGATTGCAGATTTTTCTATTTCTCTTTGCAGATCTATCAGTTTCTCTTTCGTAGATTTTTGAAGCTCTGTTACTAGGTGCGTGAATGTTTAGAATTACTATGTCCTCTTTCGAATGCATTGAGCATTCAAAGTATCCGTAGAATTTTCTGTTTCATACACAAATATACTGTCAACCATTTTATATACAAAAGTTTACTCTGATTCCACTTACATAAGTATATGCCTCTGCTGTTTAGTAGCTATATCACTTTGTGTGAGGTTTTAAACCTCTTTAAGCCTCAGTTTTCTTATTTTTTAAAACAGGAATAGTATGTTCTTCAAGTTGCTATGAAGATTAAGTGAAATTATATAGTAAAATTACTGACAATAGTATTAAAATCATAATATATACTCCATAGCAGCAACTGAATTTGTTATTGTTGGCATTATTATATGCTTGGAAAACAGCAATTAATTAGAAATTAGAAGAACTGTGTCCTGATTTTGCCTGAACTGGCAATTGAGTATACAATTTTGGAAGACTTACTTCATTTAAGACAAAGATGAAGATGAGAAGAAGAAGAAGAGGAGGAAACTAAATAACATAATGAACCAATGTAATATATTGAACTTAGATCTTGATTCAAACAGATCAAATCTAAACAGACATTTTTGAGAAAATTTAGAAAATTTAAACAGTCTGGTTATTAAATAATATTAATAGCTTATTCTAGTTATGTTATATTTAAGTATTTGTTGAGGATACATAAATTCCAAAGTATTTGTGAAGTGTCTGTATTGTTTTGGGTTTGTTTCAACATACCCCACACCCAAATAAAAGTGCAAAGTCCCCCAAATAAAAGCACAGGGTGAGACAGATTAAACAAAATTAACAAAATGTTAGTTTGTTGAAACTGGGTGATTCTGCTAATGGTTCATGAATTCTCTCTCTACTCTTGTTTGTTTAAAATTTTTGTAATAAATTAAAATTAAAAGAAGAAATACAGCAACAGTAAACATTATTGTCCATAAATTGTTGTGATTGTGTATATTTATTCACTTAGGATAATTGCTTAGACGTGTAATTGCATATTTCAAGTTTTGACATCTGTTTCTAATTTGCATTCTGGAAAAACGTGTCAGTTTATACTCCCTCCAACAATACATAAGAAAGCCAGTTTCCATTCGCTTGCCAATCTGAGTTTGATGAGTTTTTAAATTTGCCAACCAGAAAGGCAGCAATGTCTTATTTCATGTTTGCTTGAATTTGTTAGATTACTAATAAGGCTGAAACGTAAATAGATAGATAGATGTATTTACATACTCAAATGTACATACCCATATACTGTAAATACAAAAATAAATGGTCAGCAAATTATATATATAATATATAAATATAATATATTTTATTATATTATATATTATATAATATATAATATAATATATTTTATTTATATATTATATAATATATAATATAATATATTTTATTATATTATATATTATATAATATATATTTTATTATATTATATATTATATAATATATATTTTATTATATTATATGTTATATATAAAATATATTATATAATATATTTTATATATTATATATTATATATTATATAATATATTTTATATATTATATATTATATATTATATAATATATTTTATATATTATATATTATATAATATATAATATAATATATTTTATTATATAATATATAATATAAAATAATATATAAATATATATAATAAATTATATATATATATATATACACACACATACACATACACATACTCATCAAACTCAGATTGGCAAGTGAATGGAAACTGGCTTTCTTATGTATTGTTGGAGGGAGTATAAACTGACACTTTTTTCCAGAACGCAAATTAGAAACAGGTGTCATATATATATATATAATTTGCTGACCATTTATTTTTCTTCTTTGGTTAATGGATTTGATATCCTTTTGTCTATTTTTTCAGTAATAATCTATTTTTCTTTATAATTTTAATAATTCTTTATATACTACAAACACAAGCTCTATCATTAATTGCAGGTATTTAATTTTTATTAGCCTCATGTATGGTGTTTTTTGAAGTGTAAAAGTTTCCAACTTTTATGTAGTCGACATTAAAAATATTTACTTATTTATCTTTCTGGCTTTTATTTCAGGCTAAGAAAGGTCTTTACCATGTCAAGATTATAAAAGTATCTCTTTATATCTTTTTCTAGTTCTGTAATAATTTTGACAATTATATACCTAGAAAATTACTTATGATTTCCATGTTTTGGTGTTTATTACCATAGAATAATAGAATTTATTTTTGTTTTTATTTTGTTTTATAGATTGTCTTCCTGGTTGATACTAATGTTATATATGGTTCTTTTTTATAAAATTAATTGTTTTAGTTTGCTAGGGCTGTTATAACAAAATACTACAGACTGACTGTAGTATTTTGCCTGTAGTTTAAGCCTACTACAGGCTTAAACAACAGAAATATATTTTCTCACAATTCTGGGGATTAGAAATCTGAAATCAAGGTGTTGGCAGGGTTGGGTTTTTCTGAGACCTCTCTCTTTGTCTTATAGATGCCCATCTTCTCCTTGTGTATTCACATGGCCTTCTGTATATGCCTATGTCCTAAGTTCCTCTTAAAAAGACACTAGTCATAGTGGATCATGACTTAATGTAATCAAGTTACCTGATTAAAGACCCTATCTCCAAAAACAGTCACATTTTGAGATAGTGGGAGTTACGACTTCAACATATGAATTTTAGGGAAATGCAATTCAGCCCATAACATTAAGTTAGCTTGAGAGTTATATATTGTATTATACTGGATTTTTTCCCTAAGTAGTAAGCTCTTGGCTTTCTCTAACCATTTTTTATTTGATTTGGTTTTTTGTTTTTTGAATTTTTTTTCTATTTACCTTTAATGTATCTAGAATTATTCACTACAATAAACTAATGCTTTTAGACACATGTCATTTTCCTTATGCCTCAAATTCAATGTTTTTAGTATATTAGCACTTATATTTCCTTTCTAGTATATTGAATTTGCATGGTATATATTTTCCAGTCTTTTTTACTTTTAGATTTTTAAGATCACTGTTTCAGGCGGGTTTCTTGTAGACTACATAGTTTGTTTTCTTTTTTCTTTTTTTTTTTTTTTTTTGAGACGGAGTCTCGCTCTGTCGCCCAGGCTGGACTGCGGACTGCAGTGGCGCAATCTCGGCTCACTGCAAGCTCCGCTTCCCGGGTTCACGCCATTCTCCTGCCTCAGCCTCCCGAGTCGCTGGGACTACAGGCGCCCGCCACCGCGCCCGGCTAATTTTTTGTATTTTTAGTAGAGACGGGGTTTCACCTTGTTAGCCAGGATGGTCTCGATCTCCTGACCTCATGATCCACCCGCCTCGGCCTCCCAAAGTTCTGGGATTACAGGCGTGAGCCACCGCGCCCGGCAGTTTGTTTTCTTAAACCCAAACTCCCAGTGTCCTTCTTTTAATTAAAGAGTTATCCCATTTTTATTTGTTGTTATGACAAATATGTTTGGTTATACTTTTGTCATCTCATAAATTTTTAGTTTTTTATTAGATTATTTTCTTTGTGTTCTTATCTTTTATCACATAATTGCTATGTTGTCATTGTTGTTTTTTATCCCTACCTAAGCAATTTTGGAAGATATTTAAATAGATTTTAGCTCTATTTGTAGTTACTTTTTATTGAGCTAAAAACAATCTCTAAACTTTCTATACTGGAAATATCCTTCTTCACAGTAAACTTTTCATTGTTTAACTCTCCCTGTTTCTGTCTTCCACTGACCATAATCAAAGGCCTGAATTGTATGCTTATTCTATTATTATTATAGTTTTTTGAACGATGCACTGGAATTTTTCTTTTAAGATCTTATATATGACAGCAAATGACCATTCAAGAACATTTGGATATCTTTTGCCATTTTATTTTTTTTTCCATTCTTAAAATAAAGACTTTTTTGCTCACAAGAAACATTCAAGTTTCTCATTATTCCCAGGTGGTTATGATTGTCTTGAAATGAATAATAATCATCATGGGTCTGCCCCTACCTAGATATAAGGGTTATATTAAAAAGGGATATATTCTGTGAGGTTGCTACGTGGACAAATATTTTTTATCAGGCATCTGCAATATGATGAATATGGCTCCTAATATCATTTATCTTAAGAAATTTCCTTCAGCAGATCCAGTTACTGTTTACTTACTGAGCAGAAGTGATGCTCTGGCTCAATACTCATACAGCTTTTGATTTCTGTACACACCTCTCACCTTCTAATCATACTGCTAATTTCCTGGCTCAATTCTCAGTCAGAATCTAACTTTCAATAAGAATATGTGTTGTCGGACAGTAGGGCTATAATCCCTTAAGCAGCATCAGCAATTGTCCTCAAAGCTCCCAAAGGCAGAAGGAGAATGGAATATGGCAGAATTTGAGATTTAAATGTCAGCTTTTTAATCAAAAATAAGTTGATTAAGTAAGCAGTCTTTGAGAAAGTGTTCATTTGACAAAGTAGACATATACCATCTTCTCTCACATTTATTCTATGACTTAGAAAAGACATTTCTAATACAAGTCATTCTTTAGGCTATGCATCCATATAAATAGATATCAGAAAGGGCCCTGAGATACATAGATATCAGAGCTGGCTCCCTTTTTGCTTTACCAGGCTTTTATTTCCCACAGGCACATCAACAATGTGAGCTAAATGGTATCATTACACAATTCACCTCTCAGTGCTGAAGTCAGGTGGCGACAGGGCTGAGTTTAGCAACCTTGAATGATAGGCTGGAAAGATATACAAAGAGGACTTGAGAGCTGATAAATAGACTCAACTCTTCTATTTTTTAGATGGATTAACTCAAAACAAATCGGACTAATCTGAGACTTCACTTGAGAGCTGTATTAGTTTAGCTCTAAGTTAAAGCTGCCACTGAATAATGCCTAAATATCTTGTGGTCAATCCTTTAGGGTATGTCTCATTCAAATGTGCTGCCTCCATGATTTTTGTGCACTGTGATTAAATTGTGAATTTGTTCTCTTTGACCTCTAGAAACTTTGGGAATTGTCTAAAAAGATTTTTGTTAAAATCAAGATTACATTAATAATAATTTATTATTAAATAATTAATCATCAAGGGACATTACTCTATGTAGATTAATTCCATGGAAAGAAAAGTAATGAGCTGTAAATACACAGAGGAAAAGCAAGATTATAGAAAGAAATATTAAATGTAGTAAATGCAAAAGAAAAAATGTGAGTATAGAAAATCCTCTGTGGAAAGGAAAGCTTGCACTGCGAGGGAAGACAAAAGGCAAAGGACTGAAGGACTTCTCCAACAAGGAATTACTGTAAACACTTTTAGAATATAAATGGAAACATACTCCAATTCTTGACTGATATTTGAAAGCTCCTAATTCAGGAAGGCAATTTTTTTTTCTGAGAAATTTCTCCAGGGATTGAAATTGCTCAATAAGAACATTTGTATATCCATTCTTGAAGCTTTGATTTCAAAAGTTAATATCTAGTCACCATATTGTGTAACTGTGAGGCAAGGAAAGAATTAGCCTTTAATGCTAATTACTTTCCTCCGATACTAGTATAACATTAATCTGGCAACTGGAATTCTCTTAAAGTTGGATATTTTAAATTTTAAATTTCCAATTTAAAATTGGAAACCCCTGTATATTTCTTGCAATTAAAATATTTAATATCATTTTGCTAATATTACTATGGAGTTATCAAAGTGATATCATTGTCAATGTTGCTCATTCCAAAGTGGAGTTACCAAACTAAACTTTCTAGAATCCTGCCAATATATCTGTGTGAAAACAGCTTTCCAAAGTGGGATTCCACTGAGTAGGATACATATAAGGAAGGAATTATGGTGAATGAGATGGGAAAAAGGAATATTTCAAATGTGATCAGTATGATGTAAAATACTTTGTGCCAAGAAGAATTTGATACTAGAAAAGTCAGAATACTTGGGATTGAGAGTACCTCTGCTGTTCTACAGAGATGGGAAATTTATTGGACCTCTCCAAATATCAGCTTCTCTTTTTGTAAAATGGGTTAGCACTACTTATCTCACAGGGTTATTATGAAGATTAGGTAAAATAATGTAGTTTAAAATGTTTTATAAGCTGTACAGCAGCTGTTGTTATTGTTGCCACTGTGTTGTTATTTGTATATGCTTTATCAATAGTCCTCATCCAGGGCTATACATAAACATCCATTGTGAAATATCTTCATAAATGCACATGCTTGGATTCAGTTTAAGTGTTGAAGGTGGGCTCAGTTATACCTATTTTGAAAAGCTATCCTGGCAATTTTGATCCTTGCTACGATCCATGGGGTTTATATTCTATTCTCAAGCCTCAGAATTTCTGGTCCCTAATGTTTACTACTACTGAGAACCAGAAGACCACAGGAAGGCATTCTTTCTCCTTCAGTCCCAGAACTCAATCAATGGTATTTCATATCTCCTAAGTTTCCAGTGAATTGCAGAAATATGGAATTTACTGTATGTAATGAGAATTTTAAATTTGGGGAACTTACAATTCAATAGTTTAAAGAATGTCAGGATTTTGCTCTCCTTCAAATCTCTAGCTTAACACCCATTTCAATTCTGTTACCTACCTAAGTTCTCAGAAAACCCAATCTCACAGTTTCTTTCTTTGGCAATGGTCTATCCTAGAATATTTGTCATCTTTTTCTCCATGTTTCTGTTGGAAGCATGGAAGCATCAGGGTATGGGGTTCTATTTGCTGGTTACCCCATGTGTCCACATTTCTCAAAAAGAGTTGAAAGTTGCCCCTAAACACCTCTACACACACACACACACACAATTGCCAACAAATTCATTCACTTCCATGTATCTCTAGAGTCCACATACAATATACCAGGCACTAAGCTCCACTCAGGGAATACGCATAATCCAATTTTTGCTGTTGAGGACTCCCTGTTGAGTAGAACCACCAGACAGAAAATATAAATGCCAGCAGTTGCAATTTTAGGTAGACATGCAATAAAAGGAAGATGAAACGTATCTTTATCTTAATTTAAGGCAGGGATTCAATAGTGTACCAACCATAAACAAAACCTCACACCAAAAGCTTTGGTGATTAGTATCAGTGGTATCAACTGAGAACTCTAACCCCTTTCAGGACTTATCTCTGTTTATTTTAACACCATTTATTATTCTTTCCAGAAAGTAAATTTCCTAATTGGTGTGATACTTCCCTACCAACCCCATTTGTGCCATTTATTCATATAGTAATCTTTTGCCTGGCTAACTCCTACCTATCGAAGCTCACCTCAAGAGTCCCCTTCTCCTCAATGTCTTTTGTAATCCACCACTGTTCCCTAAATTTAGGCAAAGCCACCTCTCCTTTGCTCCTTCTTGCTAAACACATAGTATGCTAGGGAAAACTGCCTCCCAGATGCAGTTTTCAAGGTGCCTACTTAATTCATAAACATGGAAAAAATCTTAATTACTTTAACTTATATTTCCAGAACTCTTTCTGCTTCCCTTCTGAAGAATTATCAAAGTTTCATATTTCTCATTGTTTGTCCCAGTTTTTAAGCACTTCATTCTTACAATTTATCTTTTAAACTGGCTCAGAGTTTACAAACTAATATGAGATATCACATACTTCCGTGTGAAGAAACACATGAATCAATATGTATTTCAGACCCAAAACATTGTTTTTGCTGCAAGATGTCGAAGAAGAAGAGACCTTAAAGATATGGAAACGTGAGTGTGTGTGTGTGTGAATGCATGTCACCTATAAATGCATAACAAAAAATTTGTCCCTTTTTCAAAATTATAACACCAAATCATGAAGTCTGAATCAGTGATTCCAATCTCAAATATGGGCTCATCATTTTAAAGGGGGACAAGAATATAATAAGATTAATTTATTTTAACATAAATATGTATATAAATATGTAATATTTGGAAATATTTTTTATATACAATTATTTGGTTGATGCAAAAAACAAGCAGAAAAGTAAATGCCATATCCCCACTTTTTGTAATAATCACTATAAACACTTCAAACATTTCTAGACTCCTCCCTCTAAGCCTATAACAGACACACAGACACAAATCACAAATAGTTTTACTTAAGTGGCATAACATTAATTTGATAATCCACTTTTTTCATTTAACAATATATTATAGATATATTTCCATCTATATCATAGATATAATGTTTACATATATAATAGTGGCATAATATTCTTTTGACTATATTTAGATCTTCAGAAGAAATAACAATGATATAATACACTGAAATAAGAGGACATCGGAACTACAGGGTAATCCCAGACCTTTCCATGGCAGAAAATGTGGGCATTGAGCTATCTGGAAAGCCAAGCCAAGATTCTGTCAGGTCATAGTTGTTCATGCCTTGGCTGTGGAGGCCTCAAGAAAAGGAAAACAGATGCAGGATTGCCCTGCTCAACTCTAAACTCCATTTGATTCATCTGGCCTCTTCATCATTCCTGCTTTGATTTAATCACCCATCCCCAGCATTTATTTATGTATGTACTTAACAAGTGTCATTTTAAATTAACATGTAATAATTGTATGGGTATTATGATCTTTTGATACATATACACATTGTGTAATAATCAAATCGGAGTAATCAGCATATTTATCACCCCAAACATTTGTTATTTCTTTATGGAAAGAATATTCAAAATCCCCTCTTCTAGCTATTTAAAAGTATACGTACATTATTGTTGACTATAGACAGTCTACTGTGCAATAGAACACCAGAACTTATTCCTCCTATCTAATGGTAACTTTGTAGTCATTGATCAATGTCTCCTCATCCCCACTACCTGCTGCTCTCCCCAGCCTCTAGTACCACTATTCTATTTTGAACTTCTATGAGATCAATATTTTTAGATTCCATATATGTGTGAGATCATGCTGTATTTGTCTTTCTGTGCCTGGCTAATTTCACTTAACATAATGTCCTCCAGGTTCATCCATACTTTTGCAAATGACAGAATTTTTTTCCTTTTTTATGGCTGAATAGTGTTCCATTGTGTATAGGTACCATTTGTTTTAATCCATTCATTCACTGATGGACACTTACATTGTAACTTCTATTGATAACCACATGGTCTTTAACTTCGGTTTTGGTTTTGCACACACAACAGATAATCATAAATTCAGCCCAAATGAGTGGGTACCATAACATATTTTAAAGTCTCCACCAGAGGAAGAGCTAATGAAAACACAACCAATTAACCCAGTCATACTAAATAGCCAATAAAGACAACAGTGGAGTCAGAGGAAAAAGAAGACATATACACATATACACAATGAACAAGCTCAAATAAATATTACGCCAAAGTCAATAAAAATTAGAAGTTTTTATTTAACAACATCACATGTAAATATTCACCACAATTAATAGGAAGGTTTGTGTGTGTGTGTGTTGTTTTGATTTGAGACAGAGTCTCACTCTTGTCGTGCAGGCTGGGGTGCAATGGTGTGATCTTGGCTCACTGCAACCTCTGCTTCCCAGGTTCAAGTGATTCTCCTGCCTCAGCCTCGTGAGTAGCTAGGACCACAGGCGCGCGCCACCATGCCTGGCTAATTTTTGTATTTTTAGTAGAGATGGTGTTTCACCATGTTGGCCAGACTGGTCTCAAACTCCTGACCTCAGAGGATCCACCCACCTCGGCCTCCCAAAGCGCTGGGATTATAGGCATGAGCCACCATGCCCAACCAATAGGAAGTTTTTTTTTTTTTTTTTTTTTTGAGACGGAGTCTCGCTCTGTCGCCCAGGCTGGAGTGCAGTGGCGCGATCTCGGCTCACTGCAAGCTCCGCCTCCCGGGTTCACTCCATTCTCCTGCCTCAGCCTCCCGAGTAGCTGGGACTACAGGCGCCCGCTACCACGCCCGGCTAATTTTTTGTATTTTTAGTAGAGACGGGGTTTCACCGTGTTAGCCAGGATGGTCTCGATCTCCTGACCTCGTGATCCGCCCGCCTCGGCCTCCCAAAGTGCTGGGATTACAGGCGTGAGCCACCGCGCCCGGCCGGAAGTATTTTTAAAAAGGAATGAAAGAGGCCTTTCAGATCCTGTGCTGCGTTTGAAATCTGAAGTTCTGAGTCTGTCAACAGTCAGGAAAAGCATGTAGAATTTGTAGTTTCTGGTCCCACCATGAACTTTCCACTGTGAGAAAACTACCCCCATCCCCAACCCCAGCCACTGGGCCTAGGGTTCACCCTTATCACGGGTTCTTTTGAGATTAAAGCCTTTTAAACTTTCAAAATAGAAGACCTCCAGTCTCAATCCTCCACATACCATAATACTGTGCACTTTCTTGTCCCTGATCCAGCCCCTCTTGCTTTATCCCATCCTTCATACTCTCCCATTAGACCTTCTCTAATTATTATTCCAGAATTACCTAATTCTTCTATATCTTTGACCTTCTTTCTGAATGCTCCGTCTACCTTCTGCTGTATTTAGAACCTGGCTCTCAGCTTAGAAGGCTCTCAAGTTCTCAAGGGATAACTAACTGCAAATGATCTTCTCATATCACACATACTCTTAATCTAGGAACTAGGATTGACATTCTTTTTCTCCATTGCTACTTTCAGATTGTTATTACCTTATTTTTTTATGAGGAAAAGGAAAGGAAAGAATAAAATGAGAAAAGAAAAAATACTCCTTTGAGGCTTACACCATTCAATCGCATCAAACTCTCCATCTCTTAAATATCTCCATCTTCCAAAGTCAGGATCACTGTCTGTAGGTCACTAGGGGAATTGAGTCCTGGCTTGTAATTGTCTCCACCACTTCCAAGATACCATCCCTGTGTGTCATCCAAGTCCTCTCCAATTACCTGGCCCAATGTTTTGACCTCTTAGGTTCTCAGTCTCTGCATCTCCAATGAGCACAATCTTGCTTCAGACTTCTTTATGTCCAAAGCAATAATTGAAATGTATTTATTCATAAACTTTGACCACTAGCTCTCCTCCTTACAGCTTGGTATTTTTAATTGCTTCTGTTATAACAAGTCTTTGACTTTGTCATTGTCTCCAGGCTAATGTTCCCTGTATTTCCTCCCAATTTATCTCCCTCTTTCTTCATTTTGCTTCTGAGATCATTTAGAGTACATGTTCCATTGTTTCAATAATATTCTTGACAATGCTATAAATTTCATTGCCTTTCTGATTTATCCATTACTGCCTTCTAAGGAAACCTCAAAACTGAATGTGTGTGACTATCTGCTTTTTTGATGCCTGCCTCTCAGCAGCTGAGTGCAGCCAGGCAAAATCACACAATAGGCCAAATTGGCTCCATTGTAAACCCATAATCACCAGCCTCAAGTGGTGCCTTCAGCATTGCCTAATAATCTCATCAGCTTTCTCTGGCTCATTCACTCTCACACTCACCTCAATGACTATGTTAAAAGTTTTCCACTCTCTTCAAACCACTCTCTTCATCTCTCAAACACAGCAAATCTCCTTTTCGTAAAGATATAGGAATTTTACAAGGAAAATAGAAACCATCAGATGGAATTTACATCACGTCCTTGATATCAAACCAACACACATCTACATTTTCAGTTATCTTAGTTTCTCTCACCACTGAGAAAAATAAAAAAGCTGTTTCTTTTCCTAGCTAAATATACATTCTCCATTACTTGTGCTCTGGCTCAATGTTTTCCCAAATGGTTAAGAACCTTGTACTGCTGACTAGTTTTCCTCTCTTCCATATATACATCTCTCTCCCTCAGTTGGACTTTGTTATTCGTTTTATACAACCTAAGTTCTTGATATGAAAATCAAAAAATCCTCATCAATTATTTATTCTTCTCCAACTACTGCCCCAGTCTCTTCTTTCCTTCATGGCCAGACTTCTCAAGTTGTCTGAACTTTGTTTTAGTTATTCACTGCTCATTCACTGCTTCACAGCTTAATCCAATCTAACATATGGCCACATGACTACCCTGAAACAATTCTCAAGAAAGCAACAGATGTCCAAAATAACACTTAACTCAACTACCATTTCCCAGTTCTCATCTCATTTGATTTCTCAACAAGATCTGACACCACTGACCACTGTTTCCTTCATGAAATACTATGATCTCTTGATCGATGAAAAGAGAAGGCCTAAGAATAAAACTCAAGAAGCTTCATTATCTAATAGCCCAGATGACAAAGATTGCCTTTTGAATACAGCTGATTAATCCTAGACCTTATTGTCTTTTCACCCACTTAAACTCACATCCTGGTAAATTCAGCTGCATCCACAGCCTCAATATCTAATACTCACTTGACTCAAACTTGTACCTCAAGCCCATGTTTCCTCTGAGCTCAGAGTACCATATTCGACTACCTACACATCTCCTCCAGGATATTTCAAAGACCTTTCAATACATGTTCAAAACCAAACACAAAATATTCCCCCAAACATGGTGATTTTCCATTATTTTTAAATTCAAGACATGGTACCACTGTCCATGCAGCTCCTTAAACCAGAGGCCTATGTGTTCTTATTGACATATCACTTTCCTTCCACCTTCATTCCAAATTCCTATCAAGTTCTGTTCATCTCATGTCCTAAACATCCCTCAGCATTGTCCACTTTTCCTAGTCTACACCATCACCACTCTAGTCTAAGCTACCGAAAACTCTTTTGGATTAGTACAGTGGTCTTCTACCTATTGAACTCCATTTACCCTGACTCTAATCTGTTCTTCATGCTAAAACTAGAGTGATCTTTTCAAATTATAGAGTTGATAATATTACCCCCTTTCCATGCATTCTACTTGAATTTCTCAATGTCTCCCCATTTACTCTGAAAATCAAGATGAAAATATGTGACTTGACCTAGGAGGCCTCGCATGGCCTGCCTCTTACTTCTCTGGTTATATTTCACATTCAGCTAAGCCTTTAACACATGGAGAAATCTATCCTCTCCTTACCTAGTTAATGTCTATTGCTGTGGTCTGAATGTTACTGTCCCCCCAAAATTCACCTGTTTAAACCTAGTACCCAATATGATAGCATTAAGAAATGGGGTCATTGGGAAGTAACTAAGTCATGAGGGTTCCATCATGATGAATGGGATTAGAGTCTCTTATGAAGGAAGCTCCAGTGGGCACCTTGGCCCCTTTCACCACAAGACACAGCAAGAAGACACAATCTTGAAGCAAAGAGCAAGCTCATGTCAGACACTGAATCTGAATCTGTGGGTGCCTTGATCTAAGACTTTTCAGCCTCCAGAGCCATGAGAAATAACTTTTTGTTGTTGTTTATAAGTCATTCAGTCTAAGGTATTTTGTTATAGCAGTCCAAGTGGACTGAGACACCTATATATCTTTCTTTCTGTTCTCAACTCAAGTGACATGTTCTCAGGGAATCTTTCCCTAATCTTCTCAGCAGTTTAAATCCCTTCATTATCTGTCTTGGCCCTCTCCACAGTTGCATTTATACATTTGTTTGTGCAATGATGTGATGAGTGTCTCCCCCTCCATGCTAGATCACAAGGACATAAGGGAAAAGACAGATCTGTTTTCTCTCACAGTTTTATCACTGCACCTAGAAGAATTTTTAGGTAAATAGCAATCAGTCAGTAAACATTGGTAGAATCTGTGAATTGCCTGAAGAAAACGGAAATTATCCTAACTCTGGTACAGCATTGTTTTATCACAGAGAATTATTTTAGATGGCTCCCAGAGTCAGTCCTTCATCCTACGATTCTATGCCATATGAGCCTATTCCTCCTTAGAAGCATGCATTTCCCCTCTCTACACTTGTGCATCTGAGACATATTGTCGATAAGTTAGATAATAAGGAAGGAAAAGAGCAATAGAAGACATGCCCTTGACTGTTCTGTTAAAAATAAAAAGTTAAATTTTGTTGTGTACCTAACTCAATGCCATCTACTCAAACTGTATTCTGAGGCATAACAAGGGACGCTAGAAGCTGTGGATCTAAATTGGGCTATAGACAAGTTCTTCCTCAGTCGTGGGCAACAATTTCATGAATATCCATGCATGGCATAGCTTCATCTATTATTCTAGGAAACAATAACTTGAAACAACTTGAGTACTGTTTGTTCGTATGATATGGTGTGGGACTCTCAGCTTTAACTGTTTATCCAACATATTTGCAAACTCACATTGTGTGAATTTAAACTTTGCCAATCATCGCTCCTACTCCACTTGATTATTGACAGGTATGGTCTGCTTTAGTCTATTAAACGCATTATATTTGATGACATTTCAAAGGAGTAAATGTGCACTTTCTCTAAGCACACACAATAGATTACAGTCCCAGTAGCTTTCTAGGCACAAATGTTGACTATAGTAATTGAACCATGACCCTATCTGTGAATTTGATTATACAGCCTTTGTGCACTTTGGCACTAAGCAGCGAAAAAAAGGCAAACTGTGAAAACGATAACACTCCAGTCTTGGAAACAGTGATTTCTAGAAAAAATTTCATAGGAGGCCAGGCACAGTGGGTCACGCCTGTAATCCCAGCACTTTGGGAGGCTGAGGTGACGGGCAGATCATCTGACCTCGGGAGATCGAGACTAGCCTGGAAAACATGGAGAAACCCCATCTCTACTAAAAATACAAAAAATTAGCTGGGCATGGTAGCAGGCTCCTATAATCCCAGCTACTCAGGAGGCTGAGGCAGTAGAATCACTTGAACCTAGGAGGCAGAGGTTGCCGTGAGCCAAGATCACACCACTGTACTCCAGCCTGGGCAACAGAGCCTTCTCAAAAAAAAAAAAAGGCGGGGGCAGGTGCAATGGCTCATGTCTGTAATCCCGGCACTTTGGGAGACCAAGGCAAGAGGATCGCTTGAGTCTAAGAGTTTGAGCTTAGCCTGGACAACATACTGAGACCCCACCTTGTAAAAAAATAAAATAACATTAATAAACAGTTAAAGCCTAAGTAACAATGGGTATGAAATGATGAACTAGCCTAACCCCAGGCTGCTACAAATTGAGGTGATGTGTAAGACAGGGCAGCATGTAGCAGTCTAGGTTTTATGCTTCTGTGCCATGGTGGTTCCTTTTTCATTTTGAATCCTAGCTACCAGCTAATCTTTACATGAAAGAAAAATGCCCAGTCAATGTAAATTGGTACAATCTCCCTCCGAATAAATTCAGCAGTTTGCATCTTCCTTAAAATATTCTTTTTCTGTAACTCAAAATTTCCATTTCTAGGAATTTAATCCTAAGGAAGCATTGTAGGAGAAATATAGGGGTCTAAGTTCAGAAAGTCTGGTTAAAACATAATTTTCAACAGCAAAGAAAATAATTGGAACAAATAGAGAATGGTTAAAAAAATATGAAAATTCCTATGATAAAGTAAATATAAAATACCAGAGCCACTTATTTAAAACCCAATGATTTGAAGAATAATTAACAACCTAGGGAAATATTCTATGATATTAAATCAAAAAAATCAAGCTATAAAATTATAATTCTAGTTTTAGCTCAATTAAATATATCATATAGTCCATAAGCACATAAGATAACAGAAATGAAAATTCTCAAAATAATAAGCATTTATTTGTGAGCAGTGACATCACGGATCATGCTTCTTTTCTTCAATATGCTTGAGTATATTTTCAAAATACAATAAACAGTTATACTTACTTCCACAAACAGTATTACTGTCCAATAGTATTACTTTTTAAATAAGCAAAACAAATTAAATTTGAAAAAAAAATATTTCCACCATTCCAATATCTCAGAATTAGCTGAGAAATAACATGTAGTCCAAGACAAAGCCCAAGGCTTTAGCAATGGGGACGACACCAGAAAGACAATAAGGACCGTGAATCTAGTAAAGAACTGTGCTCACTCACTAGACTTGTTTATTGAAAACTTAACAAGTGCCAAAGATTGTGCTAGCTGCTCAAACTAAACAAACTGGTGCATATCCATGGAAGTACAATTCCACTGCCTGATAGAAGATGGTGAAACAGATGAGTTAGGGAGAAAAACAGTAGATAAATTAGAAAGAAGACAGGAATGAGGACAATATGTTCTTTGGCCTTATCTAGTTATGTCTTCATGAATTCTTATTGAGAAATGACTGGAAGTCGCTATCAGAGTTCCACTGTTTATTATTTTTAGTCATGCTGTCCACTAAATGTGTATCACTTGTATAGAGTCCATTGTTCAGTGCTATTTCAGCCAATCTCATTTAGTTATCATGATGAATTTCATAATAGAAGAACTCTTGGATCTTATTATAGATGGAATTCAAGCACCTGATTTCAATCGTCACTGTAGTTACGATTCTAGTGCCTAAAATGAGCAAACCAGATAAACTGCCCTTCTTTGTTACTGAATAGCAAGTCCCTGCTGGGTGTGCCAAATATAGCAGCAATTGCATGCTATAACAAAAGGGTTTTAAAATCTATCTACTGTTTTTTTTTCTTTTTTAATCTGCTTACTGTTTAAATGCTGGATGAAGTTATGGCAGGGTTCCCTAGAGGAAATTGAGCTTGACAACTTTTTAAAATCCCTAGAAAGTGCTCTTTCTAACTGAACTTTGGAAATTGAAAATATATTTATCTTTCCAAACATAAAGAATATTAAAGTTAATAACCACATTTTTCCTAGAAAAAATTTCTAAGCAGGTACATCTTAAGTATTCTCACACCACACACACACACACACACACACACACACACACACACACACACACACAGTAACTATGTGAGGTGATGGATATTTTAAATAGGTTGATTGTGGAAATCATTTTACAATATATATGTATATCAAATAATCACATTGTACACTTTATATATAATTTTTGTCAATTACGCATCAATAAAGCTGGGGAATAAAAGAAAAATTAACCATTTCCTATAGAGCATGAAAAGTTATTAATGAAAATTGCCATCACCTGTTGAGTTTGCTCTCGTACCAAAGTCTAAATACTTATATAACTGGCAGGTTAATTACTTACTAAGCACACCACAGCAGTGCTGTTAGCTATAGGGAATAGTAATTTCACTGACTACAACCTAGTCCTAATAAGAGAGGAACTTTTGCCATTTCAAATGAAATGTGTGCCATGGGGGTAGTCCATGGACTCTAGTATTTTAGACACACAGGAGAGTCAGAGATTTCAAGGAATTGAAGGAAATTCTGAGACACAATTTGGGAAGAGATGTCACTCTGAGTTCTTTATATTCTATAAGCCCATCTCCAACTTTCGGCATGATCTATACTGAGTTCTTAGTTCCTTCCTTGGAAAGTGCAACACAAAACAGTGACTGTTCCAAAGCTTCAAGTCTGGATTGCCTTCTAAATCTGGATGTACAGCTGCTGATTAGTAGATCATTTTGACTCTTGATTCTTTCTATAGGCAATTGAGCATTTATGACCAGTCTGTAATGAAACAACTCTCCCTCCCTATTTTTAAAATGAAAGTGCTACCAGAATATAACAGGGACCATATTAGCTTCAGTGGATAGTCTAAGTTTTAAAAATTGTGGAGATATTTATACAGTAGGAGAAGGTATATTCTACCTGCTGTGGGTGGGAGGAGTGATTGTCATGATGGGGTGATGAGGGAAAGAGTTAAAGGCTTTTCGTAATCACTATTTGCTCAAGATAATAAAAGCTTGAGTAGATCTTAACTCCCCTCCTTTTTTGGTGGGGGTGGTTGTAGACACTGAGTTTTACCTACCCCTACTGACTTCTTCAAGGGGTGGGGGTTATCACCCAATTTTACAATCTTTCCTAGGTCAGAAATGAATTGCTCTGTTAACCTCAAAATCCTACTATCTTTTACAGGATGGATGCAATAATTAAATCCCTCTTTTCACTAAAAAACACTAAACAGCAAGCCACACTTAAAAGAAAAACTTCTCACTGGAAAATTTTAAGAATTAAATTGTTCATTGGTTATAAGACGTAAAATGTGTCTTCTGAGAAATATCACAATAAACTTCATATGACTAACTCTAGGGCCATAGCTGGAGATCGTATTTTTTAATCCTACTTGTGGTCAGGAGACAAGAACATCATTAATGGGATGACAAGTGTTAGAAACTTTAGAAAAACAAGCAATGGGGAAAGGATTCCCTATTTAATAAATGGTGCTGGGAAAACTGGCTAGCCATATGTAGAAAGCTGAAACTGGATCCCTTCCTTACACCTTATACAAAAATTATTTCAAGATGGATTAAAGACTTAAACGTTAGACCTAAAACCATAAAAACCCTAGAAGAAAACCTAGGCATTACCATTCAGGACATAGGCATGGGCAAGGACTTCATGTCCAAAACACCAAAAGCAATGGCAACAAAAGCCAAAATTGACAAATGGGATCTAATTAAACTAAAGGGCTTCTTCACAGCAAAAGAAACTACCATCAGAGTGAACAGGCAACCTACAAAATGGGAGAAAATTTTTGCAACCTACTCATCTGACAAAGGGCTAATATCCAGAATCTACAATGAACTCAAACAAATTTACAAGAAAAAAACAAACAACCCCATCAAAATTGGGCAAAGGACATGAACAGACACTTCTCAAAAGAAGACATTTATGCAGCCAAAAAACACATGAAAAAATGCTCACCATCACTGGCCATCAGAGAAATGCAAATCAAAACCACAATGAGATACCATCTCACACCAGTTAGAATGGCAATCATTAAAAAGTCAGGAAACGACAAGTGCTGGAGAGGATGTGGAGAAATAGGAACACTTTTACACTGTTGGTGGGACTGTAAACTAGTTCAACCATTGTGGAATTCAGTGTGGCAATTCCTCAGGGATCTAGAACTAGAAATACCATTTGACTCAGCCATCCCATTACTGGGTATATACCGAAAGGACTATAAATCATGCTGCTATAAAGACACATGCACACGTATGTTTATTGCGGCACTATTCACAATAGCAAAGACTTGGAACCAACCCAAATGTCCAACACTGATAGACTGGATTAAGAAAATGTGGCACATATATACCATGGAATACTATGCAGCCATAAAAAATGATGAGTTCATGTCCTTTGTAGGGACATGGATGAAATTGGAAATCATCATTCTCAGTAAACTATTGCAAGAACAAAAAACGAAACACCACATATTGTCACTCACAGGTGGGAACTGAACAATGAGAACACATGGACACAGGAAGGGGAACATCACACACTGGGGACTGTTGTGTGGTGGGGGGAGGGGGGAGGGATAGCATTAGGAGATATACCTAATGCTAAATGATGAGTTAATGGGTGCAGCACACCAGCATGGCACATGTATACGTATGTAACTAACCTGCACATTGTGCACATGTACCCTAAAACTTAAAGTATAATAATAATAAAATAAAATAAAAAAGGAGCATTTTCTGCAAATACCTGGTTTAGAAGGTATCTGGCTGGTCCTCCACTAGGAAGTTGGGTGGAGTAAGCAATAGTTTATTTGATAGGAGACAGAGGGATTAAAAATGGCTTTTCCCATTAGGACAATAGGGTATCTAAAATTCCCATCACTAGTCATTCCTGTGAGTAAAATGTTTTTATCTTACATTATATTTAGTTTTCAATTACTTGTTTCCCACTGCATGCTTTTGTTTTCATTATACTTCAAATAATTTTTATCATGATTATTAAGCCATCAGAAGATTCAAATTATAAATTCATTACTGAAGACATAGGTGACTTAACACTTCTGTGGTCTTCCTTTTAATACAGGGCTGATTAAAAGCATGTATTTTGCAGCCTGTCAGGCTGGGTTTGAATCATAGCTTCACCCCTAACTGCGTGATCCTGGGCCTCACATTCCTCATCTGTAAAATAAGAATTTAAAAAAAAAAAAGCTGCATAGAATATTGTTCAAAGATATTAAACAAAATCATTCACGTAAAAACATAACATGTCATGATATGTATTAAATATGTCATGCAGAGAAAAATATTTAAAAATTGATGCATTCTTGCTTCTCTACAATTTGTAGAAATATATTTTAAAAGTGCTTGTACAGTAAAAGAAACTATCATCAGAGTGAACAGGCAACCTACAGAATGGGAGAAAATCTTTGCAATCTACCATCTGACAAAGGGCTAATATCCTCAATCTACAAAGAACTTACACAAATTTACAAGAAAAAAACAAACAACCCCATCAAATAGTGGGTGAAGGATATGAACAGACATTCTCAAAAGAAGACATTATGCAGCCAACAGACACATGAAAAAATGCTCATCATCACTGGTCATCAGAGAAATGCAAATCAAAAACACAATTAGATACCATCTCACGCTAGTTAGAACGGCAATCATCAAAAAGTCAGGCAACAACAAATGCTAGAGAGGACATGGAGAAACAGAAATGCTTTTACACTGTTGATGGGAGTGTAAATTCGTTCAACCATTGTGGAAGACAGGGTGGCAATTCCTCAAGGATCTAGAACTAGAAATACCATTAGACCCAGCAATCCTATTACTGGGTATATACCCAAAGGATTATAAATCATGCTACTATAAAGTCACATGCACACGTATATTTATTGTGGCACTATTCACAATAGCAAAGACTTGGAACCAACCCAAATGTCCATCAATGATAGACTGGATTAAGAAAATGTGGCACATATACACCATGGAATACTATGCAGCCATAAAAAGGATGAGTTCATGTCCTTTGTAGCGACACGGATGAAGCTGGAAACCATTCGAAGCAAACTATCACAAGGACAGAAAACCAAATACCGCATGTTCTCACTCATAGTTGGGAGTTGAAAAACGAGAACACATGGACACAGGGCAGGGAACATCACACACTTGGGCCTGTCAGGGGGTAGGGGGCTGGGGGAAGGATAGCATTAGGAGAAATACCTAATGTAAATGATGAGTTGATGGGTGCACCAAACCAACATGGCACACATATACCTATGTAACAAACCTGCACGTTGTGCACATGTACCCTAGAACTTAAAGTATAATAATAATTGTAAAAATCCTATACTCTATAAGTACTCAATTGTTTAACAAAATGAACAGAAATTCTGTTTCATAATTTACGTGTTTAACTTAACACATTGACTCTCCATATTTATGTTTTGTAGCTATCGAGTGAGATATTGTAAAATAATAATAATAATAAAAGTGCTTATAGCTTGGAATTTTTTACATATTCAAGATAAAGAACAGAAAATATCTACAAATTGTTTTCAGTTGATTCTTTTTCCCATGCCTTCTAGGGAGGGCACATCCCATCCAGTCAACAAGTTATATCATTTCTCAGCTCCTCAGTTTTCTCATCTATTAAATGAGATGTGTGGACTAAATATGAAGTTTTCAAAATTTTTAGTTATTCTAGTTGATGAGATACCTTTCATTCAAATGCAAATTTCACAGGAGCTCAACTATTAAAAATGCATAAAATTGAAGCTACTCTATTTAAAGTGGGCTTGGGTAGGGAGTAAAACTTTACCTACCTCACTAGATCAGAATAAAATACAAGTTACTCGGTTAATATCTTATGATTCTACATAGAAACTTGTTGTTTTTCAAAATCCATGTAAGCAAAAATGGAAGCCTTTCCTGATAATTAAAGTGATAAAAAGGAAATTTTAATAGTATCATTTGTTTACCGGCTTCATTTCACTGGTTATTTTAAAGCTAGGTTTTTTAAAAATTGGCTTAAGTTTCCTATTGCAAAACTTTTCTACAGAGCCATATTTCATTTAAAAAAAAAGTGTGGTATTGTGAAAGGAGAGTAAGAATTTTTAAGTGCTGAACTGAGGAGGAGATAAAAATAATAGCTAATGAATACTGAGGACCTAGTTATGTACCAGTTCAATAGTTCTAAGCATTTTATATGGTTTAGCCCATTTAATTCCCATGACGATCACATGAAATCAAATAGCTATTTATAATATACTATTTTAAAGATGAAAAATACCAAAAAAACTTTAAGCAATTTGATCAAGGTCATATAGTTTAGTAAGCAAAGCCTCTGGGATTTGAACTTGGAGAGTCTGGAGCTCTACTGATGTGGCCCTTAAATATTTCAAGGATTATATGATATTTTAATAAATAAAGAAAACTCCATAGAAGCATACATAAAGTAATAATGTAAAATCATGTAGATATAAATTAAGTTCCTTAAAATCTCTAGAGTCTAGAGAACATACTAGCTGATGATTAGGAGGTTAAAAAAATATTAGTTCTTCTTTCATGGTGACTAGTATTTACTTCTAATTTTCAACAGTTTATTAATTTTTAAAAAGAAACAAAATATTTAACTGTACTTTTTTTTTTTACAAAGCAGACTATTGCAAATTATAGAGAATATTTTGACCCTTTTGAAGAAAACCTGCATAGAGTGTTAGATTTAATCTTAATAATGCTTTATTTTCTACAATAAGTCTGTAAATAAGTTCAAGATCATCTGCTGTGTGATCTCTTCTCTTGCAGGAAAGGAGAAAAAAAATGATAGTAGTCGCTGCAAGGTAAAGGCTTATCAATGTCCCTTTAGGAGGGCTACTCTACTTTCCTTTGAGAATATCCCCATCTTGTGGAATCTCCTATGCCCTGAGGGCACGTTATGGGCAATTCTCCTCTGCATTTCAGCCAGGGGGCTGGAGATTCCTCAGATAAGTGTAATCCCTGATGATCTGGGCAAAAATCCGATTCCAAAGAGGTGTCTACACATTTTGAGTACATATGCCCCAAAGCATGCCAATGACAGTCCTAGAGTTGTTCAAATGGCTCCAGATTCTTTTTGAAGTCTCATCTCCTGTGTGTTCTGATTACTTTGGCTTACCAGCAGGACGACTGTTTTGCTAAATTAATGCACAAGACATGTGAAGGAGATGAATGCCCTTCCTGTTGAGAGCCAGCAGGAAGGCTGGCTGCTGAGGCAGATGCTGTCTGTTTAAACACCTCCCGCTCACAGCCTAAGTGCCCAAACCCTGTGGAAGAATGCCTGATTCAGGAACCAAGGTTGTCAAACCAGATCACATTAACTGCTTTGGCAGCTTTTCTCTCTCTCCGACTCAATGCTGTTTTGTGGTTTGCAGTGGGTGTTCTTTACCATGGCATTAAATTCACAACACAAGAGGCGTAATAGTCAGGCTCCTGCTTTGAAAGAGATGAGGTTATCTATGGAATAATTAGCCCATATCTGAAAAGAGGAGAGATAAATCAAAACCTTCGCAGTGACGAGTTGTTTTCAACTGGTCAATTCACATTGTTTATAATACGAAGACAACCCATCCATTAAGCATCCACCATTTTAACGTTTAAGAATAAGGACAGTTGATATTCTTGTTTAGGATTTCTAGTGCACATGGACGAACATTGCACCAGGTCAATTTTTTTTAAAAGTAGCTTAAGACAAGAGCCATGACATCAATTTTGTGAGAAGAAAAATCATCTGTTTTAAAAAATGAAAAAGAATAAAGAATTAAAACATTCTCAATCTGCATTTTATTTTATGGTCCACAAGAGATATTTATTTGATACAATAATACAGTTAGTGTTCCATCCAACAACTAGAACAAAAGGAATAAAACTTTGTATATATACATAAAAACTCAAGATATTTAATGTGACAAGTATATATATTTAAAATAATGCTCTTAAAATTCCTTAGTTATTGAAAATATAAAAACAAAAAGATGTTCATAGAAACAGAATGCATGAAACCAAATATCAAAGTTTGAGCAAATTAATATGTGAGGCAACTTAGCTAACAATGCATGATTTTCTTGTTTACAATCTACTAAAAATATCTTTATATCAACTGAGTGGCAAAATAGGTTTAATAAACTCAGACACCTACCGACAGAGTATTACTTTCTTTTGAGCTGGTAGTGACCACAGAAATGTCAGATCATTTCTCTGAATGAAGCATTTTATTCAAGTAACACAAAACTTCCAGACATATTTTCATAATATATTTAATCATTTCTTCATGTGATATTTATAGATAATTTGAATTTTCTGGTGTAGTTACGTGGATATATTGTGTAGTAGTGAAGTCTGAGCTTTTAGTGTAACCATCACCTGGATAATGTACATTGTACCCACTAGGTAATTTTTCTTCCCTCAGGATCCTCCCTCCTCCCACCCTTGAGAGTCTCCAATGTCTATTACTCCACAACCTGTCCACGTGTACACATATTTAGCTCCCAACTATGAGAACATGTGATATTTCACTGTTTCTGAGTTATTGCACTTACGTATTATGTAATATATAACACACTTCATACATGTAACATACATGGAAGGTGTTGAAACAAAGTAAAATCATGACCCCCTACCCCATTTACCTAAATATTACCTACCCTATATACCAAAGTACCTGTGCAGTCCTCTAATATCTTCTCTTACCTCCTTATCACCAATTATTCTGAAATATGTTTCTCTTTTTAAATTTATTTTTAATTCACAAATAAAAATTCTCTATATTTATCATATACAAAACAATGTTTTGAAGTATGTGTACATTGTAGAATGGCTAAATCCAGCTAACATATACATAACAATGCATGTGTTTCTCATTCTTAATGTTAATATTCAGGTCCATATCCATTATTAAAAAACCTCAGGACCAGATGTATTTCAGATTCAGATTGTTTTTATCAATTTCAGAAAGATTATATAGGGCATATCTTATATATTATGATTATTCCCAACAGAGTCTAGAGAGAATTCAGTAGTCAAACTCATCAATATATCCCAGGGCACAATGGGTGAACATTTACATCTGCTATAAATAAACACTATGAATAGCCTTATGTTGTCTGTTTTTGCCACCAAACGAGGTTGCATATAAAAACAAACTTTCACATCTCATGGCCTTATGGATTTTGGAATTCCAGCTAAAGAGCTTAGATCTGCTGTTTAACTTATCAAACTTTTCTCATTTAGTTAATCCTTTATGTATTTTGTTTAAGAAACCTTTCTACTCTGAAATAATAAAGGTATTCATTTAAATTTTTTTCTTACTTGTAAAGTTTTATCTTTCCTAATATATTTAATTTATCCAGAAATCTTTTTTGTATATAAGAATGAATTCTATTTTCTTTTCTCCTCTATGGATAAATAACTATCACTGTAAAATTTATAAAACTCCACCTCAGTTATATATCTTATTTCTGTACATGAAGAGGTCTACTTCTGGACTTACTGTTGCACAAATTTTTACCTTTGCACTAAGACCACACTATTTTAATTAGCTTAGCTTGATAGCAGGCCTGGTAGTTGGTAGAGCTATTCTCTTAACCTTATTCTTATTCATCAGGAGTGCCCTGGCTCTTCTTGACCCCTTGATCTTCTATTCAAATATTATCATAAACTAGTCAGGTTCCTCAAAAACCACTTTTGGGAGTAGGATTGGATTTTCCCTGAAACTCTCATTTAATTTAAAGAAAATTGACATCTTAGCAATATTGATTTTTCCTAACTGAATATGGGCACCTCTCTGCATTTATTTTTTTAATGTATTTCAATAAAATTTTATAATTTTCTCTATACTGGCATTGCACATATTTTGTTACACTTATTCCTGAGTACATTATCATTTTTGTTTATACTGAAAATGGTGGGTTTAAAGTTTCGCTTTCTATGTATTGCTGGTGTTTAGAAATACAACTGACTTTTGTTTTTGATCTCATATCTAGTCACTTTCCTAATAAACCTATTTTTATTCTAAGAAACTATCTCTATATTCTTTGGATTTTCCATATAAACAATACTATTTGTAGATAACAGTTTTGTTTCTTCTCTTCAAAAACATATTCATTTATTTTACTTATATTTCATCGACTAGAAACTTCAGTGTAATATTGAAAAGGAAGAGCAATAGAAGGAATTATTGTCTTATTCTTAATTTTAAAAGGAATATTTCCAAAATTTATCATTAAGAATGGTGTTTGCTGTAAAGTTTTGATAAATACTTATATTGCTGAGTTAGAAAGGTAGTAATCATGAATGGATGTTTAATTACACGAAATGATTTTCTGCTTTCAGTGAGATGAGCAAATGATATTTTTCCTTTATAAATGTGGGGAAACATATTCATTGATTTTATGATGTTAAAATACCTTTATATTTCTGGGATAAATGCAACTTGATCATAATGTATTATCATTTTTATACACTGCTAGATTTGGTTTGTTAGTACTGTGTTTTTCATTTTGGCATTGACATCTGTGAGTAAAATCAGACCATAATTTTTTTTCACATATAGTCCTTAACTGTGTTTTGGTATTAGAATATAAGTTGTGTAGAATTTCCTCTTTGTCCATTACCTAAAAGAATTTTTATGAAGTTAGAATGATCTGTTTTGCTTAAAAATTTAAAGAATTCATTGATAAAATTGAGCTTACTATTTTTAATATGGGGAGGTTTAAAATTACTAATCTGAATTTCCATTTCTTATTGAGTCAGTTTTAATAGGTTTTAATTTTTCTACAAATCTATACATTTTATGTTTCAATTTTTTTCTTAAAAAATCATGCATAATATTATTTTGCTTTGGCTTTGTCTTTGTGACTTAGTAAATTCTGCCACAGGATTATATGTATTACTTGTCTATTAAAATAACTTTCTTCTTTCTTTCTTCTCTTCATTATATGTTTTCTGTTTCATTAATTTATCTTATTTATTATCTTTTATTCTATTTTCCTTGAATTTATTTTACTGATTCTTTGTGTAAAATCTTAAGTTGAATTACCAGCAAATTAATTTTCAGACTTTTTGTATTCTATTGTAAGTATTAAAGGACACACACATACCCCTTCAAAAGATTCAATATTCTTCGTTTTATGTTAATTTTATTATTAGTCAGCTCTAAGTATTTGTTATCCATTACCAAATGGATGAAGACTGTGAAATTCATTGCTTAATTTATTTCTATCTTAATAATACTGAGATCTGTATAACATTCTTCGAAATAAATAAAACTCTAGTATTTAAAGCTTCAGATATAGTAGAAAATAATGTGTATTCTCTGATTGTTGGAAATACAGTTCTATGTGTGCCCCTGAAATCAAGCTTGTTGATAGGTTGTTCAAATTCTTCATATTATTATATTGTTTGTCTGATGTTCTAAAAATAAAAATATAGGGAGTTTGTGAATCTGTTAATTTTTTCTAGTAGCCAATTTCTCCTGTAGTTCTATCATATTTTGCTTCATATATTTTGGTGTTTAGCTAGACCCATACAGGTTTAGTACTGTTATTCTTCTGGTGAATTGAAACTCTCACTGTTTATAAATATTTATTTTATCTTTAAAAATGCTCTGTGTTTTAAGTTTTATTTTATTCAATTTAATACAGCTACCACAGCTTGCTTGCTTGCTCACTTGCTTTGCTTGCCTTGCTGCTTTTTCTATGTTTAAATTCACCAAACTGAGCAATGGAATCTTTCCAGCACCCCAGGAACCCCCTGGTGTTCCCTACTCATCACTACCCCCATACATTCCAGAGGGTTAACATTCACAACTTCTTTATTTTGTTTTGTATGTTCCTGGTTATCTCTTTTTCCATTCTTTTATGATCAGTCCCCCTAAGTTTCTATATTTCCCTTCAATCCAGTCTGACAATTTCTATCTTTAACTTTTAGCAGTTATAGTTAAATTGCTATAATTAGGGGATTTATTACACCTATATTTATTTATGGTATAAATAACTGGTGAATTTAATTACATTTATTGTTCTTTGCATAAGATTATTGTTTATAAATATTTATGTCTTTAACCTCATATCATGGAAGCAGTCTTAGGACTGGCCATAGGACTTGCTTTAGAAAATAATATTTTAGCAGATGTAACACAGCATAAGGACTGAATTATGCTTGTTATGTGTCTCTGCTGTAGCCATTAGAAAAATATCCCTAGGTTAGCCAGCTGGTCCTACAAGGAGGATGAAAGATATGTGGAGCAGATCCAAACCACCTTAGCTCAGCAGAGCCCTCAGCAAACCTAAAGATTCATAAACACAGATGCTTATTGTGTTAATCCACTGAGTTGTAGAATGATTTGTTACTAATTTTGTGGCAATAACTAAATGATACTTTCTTATTCATATATGTTTATTTGTTTTTACTCTTTTGACTTGTGTGCTTCTTATCTGTCTCACTATTGTTTCCTTTTCCCTTATGGAAGAAGAAATAATTGAATTCTCTGTCAGTTTATCTGTTTTTGTCTCATTGCAATTCTTCCTTCTGTTTGTTTAGAAATTGTAAGTTCTATTTCTATTTTTGAAAGACACCCTTAAAATTTTATCAGGCATATTAAACAAAGCCTAAAGTCAGTCTTTTTTCCTAAAAACACAAGAGCTTCATAATAATTTCATTTCAATCACTACTTCCCAATATACATACTATTTTTTTCTAGTAGGTTAGTTGTATATGTTTAACTCCCAAATTGGGTATTATTAAAATTAATATCTTATACAGGTTATTTTTGTCTAGATATCTTAAAATAGCTCTGCTGTCTTTGCTTGCCACTTTTTCTTGCAGATCTTCCAACTTTTTAAAAAATATATATGTTGCCTTTATAAATGAAGGTCTTGTAATCATAAATTCTGCCAGTTTTTATTTACATTAAGTATCTTTATTTCATTCTTGTTCTTAAAATCTAATTTTGAAGAGTATATAGTTTTTCCCAACATATTGAATATATTATTCTACTGTATTTTGACATCTATTATTGAGGTTGAAAAGTCTGCTGTTAGACTATTTGCTACTCCTTTATGGGTAATATGTATTCCCTCTCTCTCTGGTTGTTATCCAGAACTTTTCTTTGTCACTAAAAGTTTGCTAAAACTTTGCACAACATGAATTTATTTTTTATTCTGCTTGAGATATATTCTGATTCCCACATGGGTGGACTTCTGTATTTTATCAAGTCTGAAATTTTTTTTGGCCATTGTGCCTTTAGGTATTTCCTCAAATAAATGCACATTAGTTCTTTCATTCTACAATGTCTCCCATGACTCTTAAACTTTCTTTCATATTTTTTATCTTCTACTTCTATGCTACTTTTAGTGGAGCTTCTTTAGGTCTGTATTTCAATTCGGTCATTCTCTCTTTATGGCATTAACTCTGTGGTTAACATATCCATTATGCTTTTAATTTTGACTTGTTTTAAATTTAGAGATTCTATGTGGATGATTTTCAAATATGCCTAGCCATTTTGACATATTCTTGTTTCAGTATTTTATTTTAAATTTGCTTTTTAAAATTTTTATATAGGTATTTATATTCCACATATGCAAATTCTGATATTTGAAGTCCTTGTTGACAGTTATCTGTTGTTTGCTGTCCTTTCAACTTTCACTCACAGTGGCTAGTTTCCTTGGGCATTTTTACTACAAACTTGTTTTGTTGAACTTACTCTATAGAAATCCTAAGATTCTAAAATAGGAATACTGATCTCCAGGGATAGGTATGACAGCCAGAAGGTACCACTGAGCTAGGATACTTTATCCCACTTTGAGCATCTTAAATTAATATGAGAATCTCAAGTTCATCTCTTTCACCTTTCTGCTAACCCAGGGCTTATTCTCTACTCCAAAAACTGATAAGAGATTTTTGACTGGAACAATCCTAACTTTTACCTCTGGGTTTTTTTCTGTTTCATATTTTGTTTTAATTTTTAATTGACATTTCGAGTTTTTTGATTTGCCATAGAGATTTCCCTTACACCTTGAGAAGAGCAGCAATCCACTAAAAATTTTGTTTGTATAATTATTGCAGGATCAACGCATTTAAATGGTTGAGAGTTCAACTACCTAGTAACCAATATTGCCCCCAAATATTTTCACAACATACTCTTTTTAAGGATTCAAAACAACTTTATGAAGGATGGTGTAATATTATCATCAGTATCAAATACGAAAGCTGAGTCTTAAGTGAGTTATTACTCTAAAGATACAGAATGCCAAAAGTAAACATTTGTCAAAGCTGAAACCTTGATGACAAAATAAAACAAATTTATCCTGGAGCTTTGACCCAAAGAATCCTTCAATGTAACGTGACGTTCTTATTATATCAATATTTTGTTTGTATGAAACAAACTTTATTACAATAATATTTTATATTTTTTTAAATTTGTATATCTACAAGCCTTAAAAACTAAAGGTTTCCTAACTTAGCATTTACATTTTTCTCAAATTTTGTGAAGTTTAACCAAATGCATCAACAGGCGTTAGGATTTATGAAAGTTTAACTTTAAAAATTATTTTTAACTATAACTTCACAGAGACTGAGATAACAAAAAGATGATTTTTTTTTTCTGAGTAAGCCAGTGCTCAAGAGTGAATAATTTTGAAGCCAAATAGGGATTTCAGTTTCTATATGGAGCCTTAACCATAACTTCCCTGGGGAATTTTCCAAGTCTGCAAAATAATACCTTAAAATAAATACTTGCAAATCCATAGCACTATTCATGTGAGCCTAAGCATCGTTAAGCCTTAGATGACATATTCCATCTTGCAGACAGTGATATAGAAACACAGAAGCATTAAGTGACTTTGGTAATGCCACAGAAGGTCAACTAAAGCTGAGTCAGTAACAATATATCTCAGAAGTATCTAAAAGGAGAATCAGTTCTAGGGGATTTTCAGGTTTAGAAGATTCTGAAATATCTTAGGAGGGTAGTTCTCCACAAAAACCGTCACCAGGGTACTTGATGGAAATGCAAATTCTCAGGTTCCTCTCAGACCAACTGGAACAGAAATTCAAAATTGTACTGTGTTTTGACAAACACTTCATGTGACTCTAGTACACCCAAAAGTTTGAGAGCTACTGCTATAGGCAAAGTAGATAAGACATGATCTTCTTTCCATCTCCCTGGACCAGTTGCAAGCTGCAATAACTATCAGAGAGGAGGTGAGAAGCAGGAATCACAGACTGCAGTGTCCACAGATGCTACCAGTATGATTCATTATGGAGATTCTTTATAGAACTAGTCCTCGACCTTGAAGTCAGGCTAGGCCAGCCTGCCAATATTTATAAAATACGTAATTTGCTACCAGTAATAAAACAATGACTTTACTATTGACATTTATGTAAACAGCAATGAGTTGAAGAATTTCCTTACAATAATGTCACATCGGTCATATACATTATGGCATATTTCCCTAAATTCCAAAGAAATACGTTAAGTTATAGCTGGAGTGCTAACCACTTAAAAACATTATCAGGTTGTCTTTTACATGCTATAGCCAATAGTGAGAAACTATTAACAAAGTATGTGCTAATAGTTTTGGAAATTAGAGATGGCTTTAGTACCATACTTTTCCCAAATTCAGCATACATCTATAGAATTGTCTTATGTGAACACAATTGTATGTACTCAGCTAACAACCTCCCACAATCTTCTATTGCAAAGTAATCTGAGTGGACAGTGCAAAGTAACAAGAGGTAGGGAAGCAAGCAAGCAAGTAATGAGCTGGAAGAAACCAAATTACGCTCTATTCAGCAAGAGGAATAGAGAGCAGGGACATGGGGGAAAAAAAACTGACCCAGCCACACAGACTGCCCCAGAAAACACATGTGACATTAACAAGTTTAGCTGCATTTCAGAAATTGGGCAGTATCATCTTAGGTGGTACAACCTCATAGACAAGTATAGTCAAGGAAGAGAAATGACATTGACAAACACTGGGTGGGTAAGTCAGGAATCAGGAGTATAGGGGAACATACATGAGCACAGAATCACTCCCAGTGCAGCATTACTAGGGTCTGAAGGATTGTTTAAGCTTAATTATGCAAGAAAATTTGGGGTTTATTGGCCAGAGATCAAATGCCAAAATAGTAAAAATTCAAAGATGTCAATGTTCAAAAAATAAAATTAGTCCAAACCAGTATATGAAATAATATTCTATGGAAGGTATTGTGGAAGAAAAGAGATATCAGCAGAAGACCCAACTGAATGCTATCAAAAAGAATTTTTTATAGGGGAAAGAAGAGAAATGAGAGTGATTACAAGCAAAAGGAATTAAGTTTTTGTTATACACTCTCACATCTCTTTTTGACTTCTCATTCCCATCTACAAAGATAGTTCTTGTAACCATCAGCCTCTCCCAGATTGTACATTTTCTATAAAGTACATAGTCAAAATGTGAGAGGAGGCTTCTGATTCCTGAAATTTGCATGTTGAAGTAATAACTTTCAAATATAACAGGGAGATATCTGCTTTTGGCCATGAGTAATTGGTTTTAGACTTACCCTCCCATCACAAACAACTATAAAACTAGTCACTTTTATCAGATATCAGATAACAGTCAATGTAAGGGATGATCTTGGGCCTTCCTGCTTGTGAGAAGTCCCCTGGCCTCAGTAAAGAGTACTAGAACCCAGCTAACGAGCACTGGTCTCCATTGCTCAGGAGCTAAGGAGACAGAAATAAAAGTTCAGGATTGCTGAGTTGGATTTAATTTGCAAGGCAAAGTATTAGAGAATAGGAAGCTGCACAGAGGACAGAAACAGCAGAAGTTTCCATGAGTTTCTCCATAGGCTAATGGCTGAGAACTAGGATGTCTAGCACAGTGAGAACTACTAAGAAGCAAAGCAGAAAATGGCTGCTGTGGGGCTGAAAGCTGGGCAAAAATATTGGAGGCTATGCAGTTCTAGATGCTGCTGGAATTCTGGCCCTGCAACAGTAAATGGACCTCATTCAGCATTTCAGGCATTCACATGGCTCCCAGAAAGACTGTGCCCTACAGGAAGAGTCATATCCTCAGACACTAAGGGCAGAACAGAAATAGACCCACCCTAATAAAGCATAAAAACAAAGCCTGAGAGTGTTAATAAGATATACCCGTAATTTGACTATCTGCCACAACAAAACAATAATCTCTAAAGGAAAATAACATTATCCAGACTCTTTACTACATAAAATCTACAGTGTCCAACATATAATAAAAATTACTAGATATGTAAAGAAGCAGATAATTTAATACATAAGAGTTTACAGCAGTCAATAGAAAGAGAACTAAAAATGATCCAGATGTTAGAAATAGCAAAGACTTTAAAAAAAAAATTATAAATCTGTTTAGAGGACTTGAGGGATGAACATGAGAATGCAGACAGAATCTCAGAAGAAAGGAAGAGGACATTTTAGACCTGAAATGTACAATTTCTGAAATAAAAGACTTACTGGATGTGCTGAATAGCAGATTGTACACAACAAAAAAGATCAGTGAACTTGATGCTGGGTCAACAAAATTCTCCAGACTGTAGAACACATGGAAAAAAAGATGGAAAAAATTATCTGTGATTTGCAGTACATATCAACTAATCTCAGAAGGAGAGAACACAGAGCAGCACAAAAAGTATTTGAAGAAATAATGCAAACATTTTCCCAAATTTGAGAAATATGTCAGCTTCAGGGAGCTCAAAAAACCCTTACACAGGATAAATACAAAGAAAATCATTCCTAAGCATATCAAACTACTGAGGAACAAAGACAATGAATTTAACATACAGATAAAGAATGATGAGAAAGAGTATCTTAGGGAGAAAAAGTGAGATTGACTGGGACTAAAGTGAAATGATGCCTCAGAATTCCAGAAACTGTCATTAGGCTTAACATACATTTCATATCCTCACTCATGAAAAAAATCATAAAATCCCCTATGGTGATTGGATTTACAGTCTGAGGTCACCCATAATTGCTTCCTGTTTTTATGAAATTTGGTACCAGAGTGTTACACATTTGAAACTAGTGTCTAAATATTCCAGCCCAAAGAGCAAATCATGTTCTACACCAATATTCCCAGAGCATATCAAACTAGTTTAATAACCTCAATCTCTATCACCATGTCACAATACAACAAAAAACTCTCAAGGACAGGAATTTGGGAATTTAAAGGGCCACTCTTGTAGTTTTCCTTCTTGTGGCTGGAGCTATGCATCAGATTAACTGCCTTGAGCTGGAAGGAGATTCCCAAATAGTATGAAAAAAGGAGGCCAGAGATTCCTTGTGGTGCTAATAAGGAAACCCATTATAGCTGCTAGTGATGGAACTTGTCCTTGTGAATCAGGTCTTAGGGGTGGGATAATACTGCTGCAGTTAATGATACTGACATTGATACAGAGTCCTACCAACGTACGGCAGTTCTTCCTGGTGCCCTCTATTTCTTTCTTTCTTTCATTTTTTTTTAGACAGAGTCTTCCTCTGTTGCCCAGGCTGGAGTGCAGTGGCGTGATCTCGGCTCACTGCAACCTCCGCCTCCCAGGTTCAAGAGATTCTCCTGCCTCAGCCTCCTGAGTAGCTGGGACTACAGGCGCATGCCACCATACCTGGCTAATTTTTGTATTGTTAGTAGAGACAGGGTTTCACTATGTTGGCCAGGCTGGTCTCAAACTCCTGACCTCATGATCCGCCTACCTTGGCCTCCCAAAGTGCTGGGATGGTGCCCTCTATTTCATCAAAGGGGATCTCACTTCACTGAATTGGGCTCCAATGTTTTCATCTTTTAATTTGATTCTACAGCTACCTCTCCACAGCGTAAAGCTGGTGAAGCACAAATGCCAGTGTTTGTAGCAGTGCCATATGAAGCCTTTTTGTACCCTGAGGCAAAAGAAAAAATGTACACCTATATAGACATGTATCAGCATATCTTTTCATATTTTGAACCAAGGGGAACATAGTAATAAAATTTGTACAATCAAAAAAATATAAGAATATCTAAAGCCCCACATTGCCCAGTCCATTGGCACACGATTGTTAACCCTCAGCTGTGGGCTGATGGAAGTGACTGGCCCCTTCACATATTAATGTAAGGCCATAAAGCAAGCAAATAACAGCTGTCGTTAGTTAAAAGTTTGATATGTTCACCATATATTTTCTACATATATTTTGATTTTTTAAATATTGCTTTAAAATATTATTAATTTTGATTACTGAGTTTTGGTGTCCCCTTAGATTTTGCACTTTGGAAAAATACCTCACTTACCTCAACCTAATCCTATCCCTGGAGATTGTTGTCTCAGAGACCAAGTGCTTGCATCTCTGCCTAATAACCCACTGTAGCCCTTGATTCAATGGTAGATAGAATAATGGTCCCACAAAGATATCCACACTCTAATATTAAAACCTATGAATTTGAATACTTTATGTAACAAAAAAAAAAAAGACTCTGTAGATGTGATTAACGTGAAGGACCTAAGATGGGGAGATTATCTTAGAGTATTCAGGTGGACCCAATCTAATCAAATGAGTCCTTTAAGGAAGAGCGCTCTTTCTAGCTGCAGAGAACCAGAGAGATAGAAGAACTCAATTTGCCTTTGTAGGCTTTAAAGATGGAAGTAGGGGGCTTTGCCTCAAGGAGTGCAGGAGGCCTTGAGAATCTGTAAAAGGCAGATAAATCTCCAGAAAGGAACACAGCCCTATGCCTTGATTTTAGCCTAGTAAGAACCACATTGAACTTCTGCCCTACAGAGCTGTAAGATAGTAATTTTGTGGACTTTTAAGCCATTAAATGTGTGGTACTTTGTTACAGCAGCAATGGAAAACAGATACACCACTTCTCTCTATAGGAATTGCTCATCTCTGTCTCTGGGACTCAGGACCACCTGGATTTTTTCCCTAACAGGTTTTTGTATCTCGAAATAGCTAATCTCTAGGAGAAGAACTTGGCATGTTGGTACCTTTTAATTCCCAAAAGAGGTTCACTTCAAATTTTCCAAGTCCTTCCTCCAGAAACCTTCAAATTCCTCAAATCAATAGCTTCCCTGCAAGGAAAACAACACCACAAAAAATATTCACATTTTGGAGATCCTGCTATATAGCATTTTCTCAGAGTTTCTTCAAATTATATTCCTTTAAGTTAATTACTAGATGGGTTTATGAGTTATTTAGTGAACTGGAATGCTATAGAAGGCACAGAATGGGCAAGGAATGGGGGCAGTGGGCATAGGATTCATGTGTGACTCACATTAATTCCCAGAGATAAGGTTCGTTTTATGACTGCATCCCCATATGAACAACCTGGTCTTTTCCATTAAAATTAAAATATTACCTTTCTTACAGAATCAGTTTAAACCCTGACACTTCATCTCACAGACAAGATCAACTTAGAGACTGCTCAGAAACACACCTGAAGTGGTCAGGCTGGGGTGGACTCAATAGAGAATGGTTAGAGAAGGGAAAAGAGACAAAGGAATTAAGAGAGTTGACACAGCAGGAGAAGGGGTGGACGGCAGGAGGCAGGTTAGATCATTAACAACTTAGAACATCACTCCTACAGCTCAACTCTTCACGCCTAAAAGATCTGAATTAAAAAGTGGGCTCTGCAAAAGTCTAACTGCTCATATAGTCTTTTAACCTAAAAGGAGGGGGAAACTTTAAAAGTCCAAATGTTATCTATTGCCATATTTGACATTAAGTTCATTCATGAATTGCTCAGGTCACTGTTAGAATGATTCTTACTAAACTTTAAAACATAAAATGTGTTAAATCAAACTAAAATTTTGCCCGAGAAAGCCTCCATACTCACATACTTGAGTTCTTAACATATGAACTACAACCTACGTTAGTACATAGATGAACTGGAAACCTAACTTCAGAGTATGCTTTTGTAACAATAGCTGAGTCTCAGCCAATCACAGAAGTTGTATTGAACCCCTCACAGGCAGCCAACCATGCAAACCTTGTTCAAATAAGGCAAACCCAGAGCTGTAACCAATCCAGCGTTTCTGTACCTCACTTCTGTTTTCTGTACATCACTCTCCTTTTTCTGTCCATAAATCTTATCTGACCATGCCACAGCCCTGGAGTCTCTCCAAATCTGTTTTAATTCTCAGGGCAGCCCAAATCATAAACTGTTTCCTTTTCCTTGCTTAAACTGTTAGATTCAATTTGTCTAAAGTTTTTATTTTAACCAATGCCTCCACAAAATCAATATTCCATCTGCATGTCTAGGTAGAAAATGGAAAGAACAGAAATAGTTTTAACCAGAAATCATTTGATTTTTAAAAAGGTCTAATAAACATGGCCATAGAACAGTATCTATAAATTATAAGGGATGGTTTTACATAACAGAAAATTATATAATGTTGGCTTGATGCAAGCAATTTAGCAGATTGGTTCAAATTTGTCATCTGCACTTTCTAGTTTTAGTGGTTCTCAAATGTATATTCTCATATCCACATGCAAATAAATATTAAGGGTCATCAACAGCTTCTTTGTAATCTACAGTATTTTTTCTTTAGCTTAAGAACAGGGTCTGAAGATTTAGCAAAATCCTAACTATTAACTAACCAATTCTATATCAATATCTCACAGCTCTTTCACTCAAGTGACAATCTTTTCATTTCAATTCAATACCTAGTCTGAAATAATATCTACGAAAACCCAGAAGTGGTGTGTCCAAAAATTAAACAATACTTTTTAAAAGCTCTCAAGTTAAAAGGAAATTAATTCATTGTACTTTTTATGGAGTTTGAATCCACATTCCCAAGAAAGGGCAGGGATTCCTTTGGAGTCCTCAGCAAATACATTTCTTCCAGCCTCTGGCTATAGAGAGCAGTTGTGATTCCCAAGGCAACTCAGTATTGCCAAGAAAAACCTGTGCCTCCCACAAACATACGAGCCCTCATTCACAACTCAATAATAAATAAGCAACTTTGCCTTGGCTGGGAGAAAACAAGGCTAATATAGGTGGAATTGAATATCAGAAACAAAAGCTATAAATCTTCATTGTTCTTATTTAAATTATTCAACAATTGATCTTCTTCCACACACAATAGAAAAACTATGTTGATAAGGTATAAAACAAAAATTGTTTAAACTTAAGACAATCTTACCAAACATACAAACTCCTATTAGCAGGTATATTTTCACACTCAATGTATCACACTCCCCCAAGTTTGTTTGAAGAAACTATGTGACAACAAAGCACTTTTTTTTCTTTTGACAAATCAGTAAAAACAATATAACCCAACAATTATAATGTACATGTATATGTTGGATATAAAAGGTTCATGCATATTTTTATAGGCTTTTTTCTTGTCTTTGTCTTTTTTTTAATTCGTTCTATTTCTTTTAAATTCTATTAACAGGACTGGAGCTCCATTCAGCTGGAACTTTGGACCTGGGTTCCATTTAATTGGGCACCAGCTCTGCACCAAAACACATATGGAACAAATTATTCTACCTTTTAAATCACAGCAATGTATAAATCTGGAAGAAAATGCTGCATTTTCTGACCTAGGAATCCTTTCCCAGAGCTTTAAAAAAAAAAGCTGCTTTTAAAAAAATTATTATTGAAAAAAATGTTCTAATATGTCTTCAGAATTTTTGAAAACTTATTTCCATGGAATGACAGCTCAATCACATATGGAGATTTCATTAAACTGGTTTAACAAGAATTCCTGTTCAGAAGAGTTTAGTACTGAGCAAGCTGGTTACCAACCTCAAGAGTCTTACACTTTAAAGATACAATAAAATATATTCAAACATATATTCTCTTTTCTGAAATGTGTTGGTAGTATATTAACACAACCAGTTATATCTCTAGGATGCCAAGTAATGTCAAGAAAAAATTGCTCTGGACAAAGTTAAATGAGCAAGGAAGACTTTATTCAAGCTATTTTAATAGGGGACAGAGACAATTGTCAAGAAGACAATAACTCTTCTTGAAAGTCTAAAATGTAGCAAAGCTGAGGGGAACTTTAAGGCTGTCTTGGTCGATAAACAAGAAAAGGGAAACTCTAGCACTGAAAAAGTTACTTTTGAGCAATATTTTAATAAAAGAAAAGCACACAAATTCCTCTAAAGGAAGGGGAAGCTGTCTGAGGCCGAGGTGGTGCTCTGCCAGGAGCAAGCTGACAAGTCTCACTCAAGTGCTGGCAAACAGAGCTTGGGGGCCGGAGCAGGAGCCTGAGCTGGGAGGAGGCTGGCCATTCATTCCAGGAAACTAGTGGGTGGAGGGCCTTGATGCCTGTGATTAAGAGTGTTAATTTGGATTGAGAGGTAATTGGGCATTGGCACAGGACTCAGAAAGGGGAAATAATGCAATCAAAGAGAGGCCTGAGGAAGATGATTGTGACACCTGTGAGAGAATTGAGGCTACAGAGGCTGAGGCGGGAAGACCAATAAGGAGGTCATTATCCTGCTGCCTAGACTGTTAGAGTGCTCCATCTCTGCACTAATCCCCACTCTGTCCCTTTTTCTTCAGTGAAGCACTTCTCCTGTCTCTCTCCTTAATTATCTTTTCACAATACAGTCCCTATGACCACCTTTTAAAAAATCAAACTGTCCTTCTTATTTCTTTGAAATCTCTCCAGAAAGTACACTTGAACCATAAGATTTAAGATGTAATTAAATCATCAGATCTTCCAGGCAGAAGATGTGAAGCGATAATTAAGAGTTTCCTAAGTTTGCCTGATCATAAGACCCAAGTAGGGATGTTTAAAACATGTGTTTAATTTTTTTTTTTTTTTGAGACAGAGTTTTGCTCTTTGTTGTCCAGGCTGGAGTGCAAAGGCATGATCTCAGCTCATTGCAACCTCTGCCTCCTGGGTTCAAGCGATTCTCCTGCCTCAGCCTCCCGAGTAGCTGGGATTACAGGCATGTGCCACCATGCCCAGCTAATTTTGTATTTTTAGTAGAGTCGGGGTTTCGATATCTTGGTCAGGCTGGTCTTGAACTCCTGACCTCAGATGATCCGCCCACCTCAGCCTCACAAAGTGCTGAGATTACAGGCATGAGCCCCCGCGCCCGGCCTGGGGTTTCCTTTAAGCATAACTTCCTAGGTTCCATTTCACACTCACTGAAACAATATTGTCCACTGGACGGGTATAACAACTTGTCTTTTCAGGAGAGTACCCCAAATGATAGCTATGATCTGACAGTTAGACAATGAGTTATAAGGGACAGTTAGTAGCTGGCAATGTCATGAGACTTCATGAACGAGATGAGTTTTTAATGAGTTGATTTTAAACTACTTTCCTCTCCATTTTGGTTCCTGATGGCACTAGCATATCAGGCTAATGGTGAATGCCTAATGAATGACGTTGCCTGGAAAACTGGTAAAAACCAGATTAAAGTATGCTCCTGCCAAGCACTGGCTTAGTTAAATGAATGTAATCGGAGAAAAGGAATCCTCGGAAATGTGAGAAAACTACACAAAACAATCGCATTGGGGGATGAGCCAGAAGCTGACCGTGAAAATGAGGCTCTAGATACACAGTCACTCAAGTGCTTTTTCAAAACTGAACTTCCATATCTCTTTGGCCCTATCCCAATATGGAAGGACTATAGTAGATAAACATCTGAATGAGAAAATGAATATTATGCCATACTGATTCTACCAGGTTTATACAGCTGTGGACCAAGTGAGTCAACAGTAATATGCCTTTAAAAATTGAACAAACGTGAAACAAAATGTCTTCAGGAAATAAGATTTAACCTGCAGGTTTAACTAGCCACATTTTCCCCACGAAAAAGAGCCACTAAAATATGTATCTGGAACCTTCGTGGAAGCAAGTCAAAGGAATTTGAAGGAAAAGCTGAAGGAATCACATGGAGCCATGCATGAAACAATGGGACCACCTAGTGTCATCTGAACTTTTCCACTAAAGGGCTTATCATCACCCAGTTTCCTCTTGCCTATGGTGTACGACTAGTGACTGAGTAGAGGGCTGGGTAGGAAAAAACATCCATTTCTATTTGGGATTTGGAGTTTGGGTGGAAGTAGAACAAGATAACAACTGTCACCAGGATCTATTACCTTCTGATAAGCTCTGGAAGGACCTGGTGCTCATCTGACTGTTCACAGATCCTTTTTATCAAGACTGTTATTCAGCTAATCCAGATGTCCTACTGAAACTGATTATTTTTTTCAACCTAGTGTCTTCTTTTGGTCAAAATCCTTACCTAATTTTCAAACAGAACCAAAATAATAACCAGTGCCTGCAAAACTTTTTGTGTCAAAAGTTCTTATTCTCTAAGCACTTGGGGAATTATTTACGCAAGGCTCGTGTACAGATCTACATGTCCTAGGCTAACAACAGCTAGAGAGCCTTTAGGATATTTAATTTGCTTTTCAAATGCAATGAAAATAAAGTTTTTTTAACATATTTTCTTCTTTTATTGAAAGTATTATTCTGAAAAGAGGACAAAGGAAACTTATAGGTAGAAAAAGCAAATAGTACAGAAAAAAAGAAATGCTAGAGAAGACAGGGTTTCAGTACTACAGTCCAGTTAAGACAGTTTGAATATGGATACACCAGAAAGAGAAAGAAACAATAGAATTAGCAAGAATGGTGAAAGAAGAAAAAAAAATGTGTCTTTTGCATAATATGCTAATTTATCACAATAACTTCTGATCCCTTGTAAGGATTCCATGTCCTCTTTCTTCAATGCCTTGACGCTAATAGATCCTAAATACTAACCTAGAAGACTGACTTTACTCAAACCTTTCCTTTTGCTAGTATAATTCTCTATTAAAGCAAGTGTAATGTTTGATTATATTTTAATAAGCCACTATATACCTTGATTTTGAAACATAAAAATGTCACAAGCAAAATTAAAATGCAAGTGACAAACTTCAAAAAATATATTTTAAATTAATAAATACAGATACCCTTAATATAGAAAGAGTTGACACAAATTACTAAGAAATGTTATTAAGATTCTGGTCAAAATACAGACATGAGCAGATAATACTCAGAAGAAAACTACCAGTGGCCTGTTCAATCTCATAGTAATTTGCAAATTAAAAAATGAAATACAATTCTTTAGTGATAATGTTCAAGACTGGTCATAATATTCAAGGTGCAGAGATAGGCTTTCTATTTCATACCTAGTAAAAGTTTAAATAAGTATAACTTTTGTGAAAAGTTATTTGTAATATGCCCTGAAATGTAGAGCTTTCAGCTTAGTAGTTAAACTACTACTGGAATATTATTAAGGACAATAACAGATATGAAATAATACACTCACAAGTGTAGTTATTAAAGAATTATTTGTAATAATGAAAAACAGAAATAATCTATTTTTCATGAGGAAAGTTTTTAAAATGAGTTTGTAGAAGATTTAATAAAATGAGGAAATACATATGATATTGTTTACATAAGTAAATACAATTTTAAATATATGCCCCCATATGGTTATGAATCTAATTATGTGTTTTAAACTGTATTTACCAGGGTCGGTTTCCTTGTGAATATGTACTTTGGAAATTGCCAAGTGTTTGAACATTTCAATGGCATTTAATTTTCCCCCAAATTCAGTTTTTACAGTGCCTGGAACTTATTACGCTGATGTCTGCATAATGTGTGTCTTTGTTTTTGTATTTTTTTAACTCATTTAATCACAGGGCCAAGTCACTGCCAGATTCCCCAATCTATTTTTAATTGGTCTAAAACTTTGATTTTCAAATAAACAAGCATTACTTTATCATACCCTTTGAGACAGCCAGGTGGGAGGGGGTCTCAGAAAACCTCCAACCAGCCTGGGCACTGGGGTGAGGCCTCGGGAAGTTCACACCATTTTCAGCCAGGAGGAGTCAGGCCTCTCCTCTGTCTACGTGGACCTGGGATTCGAACAGCCAGGCAGGAAGCACTCTACCAGGGACTCTGGCCTAGCAAGAATCCCTGTTTCCCCTTTTTCTTCCTTTTCACCCAATAAAACCCTGTCTTACTCACCATTCAAATTCTCTGCGAGCCTGAATTTTCGTCGGTGTGGGACAAAGAACCCCGTCTTTAACTGAACTAAGGAGAAGTCCTTCAATATCTTCAATCCCTTCATCTTCCTAGCACCAGATGCTGGTTTTCTTTTCAGGATGACTTTTACAAATAAACTGAAGTGCTTGTTACTTTATAAGAGTAAGAAATTTGGAGAAAAAAATAGAAAAAAACTTCTCTCACATGCAGCAAACTTTAAATTATTCCAGAAAAGTGAAATCCTGAGTCTTAAATCAAATGCAGAAGGTCTTCTGAATAGAAATATTCATCAAAAGGGGCTGGGAGGTGCAAATTATGCAGTGGTTATCTGCGTCAAAGGAGTACTGAAGATTTAATTATTTATACTTTTTTTAAAATTTGATTAACATCTGTTGTATTTATAATTATAATGTAATTAAATTAATTATAATCATAAACCAACCTTTGTTTCTGATTCTAGAGGCAGTAGAGCTTAATGGTCAGAGCACTCATTCTAAAGCCCAGTGGGCTGGTTCATATCCTGCCTCCATTGTGACTTCTTGAACAAGTTATTTATCCTCTCTGTGCCTCAATTTTCTCATCTGTAAAGTAGGGATAATCACATTACCTACATCATTGGGTTGTTGTGACAATTACATGAGTAAGTTATGTGAAGCACACAGAACAGTGCTTGCCAAATAACACTGTATAACCAAATGTGCGCTATAATTATTTTGTTCTAAATAAATGTGTTCTAGAATGCTCTAAAAACTAAATGATCTAACATTTTAAAGTTACAACTAATTTTGGAAGATAGAGGTTTTCAAGGATTGGTTAAAACTTGTACCACTGTCATTTACGTGGATTTTACATTGTGCTGGAGACTACCATAAACATTTTATGGACATTTGTTCATTTAATTCTCACAGAAAATTTTGAGTTATATTTTATCACCATCATTTTATAGACAAGGAAACTGGATAAACAGAGGTTTAGAAATCTGCCTAACTAGGTCACAGACAATGGAAGAAGAATGCCAGAATTCAAACCCAGGTCTTCCTGCCCCCAAGATTAATGTTCCTAACTATTCTGGGCAATTAAGATTTGTGATAGGTATACTACACTAGTCCTAGCTATAACTAAAATGTGTATTCTTCAAAATTTTGTCTGAATATTAGTAATTAGAGATCAATTGATATTCATGCTTTGTTATTTCAGTAAAGAGGTCATCTATTATAATCACTGAATATGAGTCATGCCTATGAAAAATCTAGTTGTTTACACAATACTGCATAATCCTATCACCACTATTTCCAGGGCAACTTTTACCAAAAGGCAATGCCAGGAGAAAATAAACAGTCTCTCATGGCTTAGTTTCACAAGCTTAAACCTATAAAATCATGAGAGGATATAAAAAATCCAATGATAGAGTTGCTGCTGCAGGTGTGCAAGTTTGTTGTTGTTGCTCCTATATTCTGATGTAACATTTGAAGTATAGTACAGACAATAAACTTGGTTCAGTGACTTGAATACTTAGGCAGTCTGACTCTAGTAAACTGAATGTCTATTGAGTGAGTGTTCAAGATGAAAAATATTTGAGGGCCTGTTTCTTATTCTGGCAACTGATGAATGGGAAGCTCCACTCCCCATCCCCAAATATGTGTGGATTGATGGGGCTTCAGAATTAAGACATAGAGAAGGAAAAGTCGCCATATACTACTTTAAAGGGTTAACGAGCAGTCCGGGAAAAGATGCTCACCTTAGATGTCAGCAGCACCTCTCAAGGATGTGCCGTGTATTCTAACGAAGATGTTCTTGGAAAACTCTTTACTAAGAAAAGAACTAGCAAAGAATTGACAAAGCCTTGAAATTATCTTGTCCCTCCTACAAATCGCAAGCTCTTCATTAAAGGCATCAGAACACGTTCTAACAAGAAATTTTCAGCTTAGAGTGGTTGTTCTGCCATTCTGCCACTCTCCATGTTAAGGCCATTCCAGGGAGGGTAGATTCTATGATTAAGGCGATTAAGGTAATCAGCCAGGCTGACTCAAACACTCAATCTAGCTGCTGCCAGTGGACCTGCTGGTAATCACCAGAAGAGTATGCGTTGGAGGAGAATTTCTCTCTACAAGTACTCTTGTGTTTGTTAAAGTTGAAACTAAGTTGGACAAAGAACTGTGCTTGAAAGTTTCCAGCTCTATAAATTGTAACTTCCATAAAATGTATCCCTGACTAACAGTCCCCTGACCACATACCAGGGGTTATGCTTCTGGAGTCTGTACCCCTTTCTAATAAACTGCTCTGGACACAATGAACCCTGAATTAATTGTTGTAACAGGTTAATGGATAAGGTAACAAAAAAAACCTCCATCTTTAACTAATGAAGGTTACTTAAATCTTATTTTTCTATCACCAAGGCCACCATCTTGGTGATATGACTCAAGGGTCGATTAAAGCTACCACCCCTCGAATTTTTTTTTTTTTTGGTACCAAGTACTGTGCTATCCACTAGCCATATTGAAAAGGTCCCTCTTGCTCAAAATTGTTAGCTCTTCTACTCTGCTCTTTTCCTGTCTACCCAGACATTCCTACCTGTGGGAATCCTACAGGTTTCATTTTTAAATTTTAAAGCTGGAAAAAAACCTGGGAAATAATTTGATAATTTAGTTTAATTGCCTCACAATGTAGGTCCTTGTTTCCCAGTAGAAATGAGCCACATGTGGCTATTTACATTTAAATTGATTAAATTAATTAAATTTCAAATTCAGTTTTTCAGATGCACCAGCCACATTTCAGGTGCTCAATACTCACCTGCAGCTATTGTCTGCCATATTGGACAATACAGATATGCAACATTTCCATTATCAGAGAAAGTTCTATTGCATGGCAACTGACATAGACTAGTGAGGGTGCCACTGATGCTATCTAAGATGATTTACATGGACTTTTTAATAGCTATATATTACTTTAATATGTATTAGGTATTATGTAATTTACAGGTCAAAGTTCTTGTTTCATAGATATTATTGCTTAGGATAAGGATTGAAGTTTAAAATGAGAGTTGGTTCGAAGAAAAATCTGCCAGGACTACTAAGATATGACAAAATTGTGAAGGTGGCAGGTGAATGAATGAGGCTTGAGAAACTGGAGGTTTGATTTTTAAAATAAAAATGGGAAAGAATGAGTAGAGCTTCCAGAAGGCCACAAGTGTTATCCTGGAACATTTATCTCCTAACAAAGATTAAGAAAAAGTGATGAACACTTAGACAAAGAAGGGATTCAGGGGGGTTGGGGCAGAGGAATGCACACAGGGAGAGTAGCCTAAATAAGCTGTGCGGGCCAGGCAGCATGAGGGCAAGGAGTCAGAAAGGCCAAGTGCAGGCATGTCAGGCGCTGGGGAAAGCACACACAAAGAGAGACAGTGCACCTCTCCAGATGGGAAAGTCCAGAGTCTCAGGAAATCATCATATTTATTTACAGAGTTTGAGTAGTCGTATGTATAGTGAATTTCCAGCAGGAACACATTTCAAAAACTCTTGAAACTGTAATCTTCCTCTCTATTTTCACTGGCTGCAGTAGAAATTTTATTAGAGAAGATTTGGGTGGAAAAGTAGAAGCAGTCACAATAAAAGATAATTTAATCTTCTAAGTAAATTTTCAAGCCTACTGAACCTTGAGTTATTTCAATAAGATGTTCCCATCTTGCCAACACATGTTGGGAAGCTACAGGTGCTGATGGTGCTGCTCCAGTGATCTTTCAAGCAATCACAAGTGTTCATTACAAGGTCAGCATGGTGATAGGAGAGGCTGGAACTCATTCGTTTTATTTCATTTTCCAAATCTAACATCCCTGGTAGAATATTCAGTACTTTTTTAGCCAGATTCAAGAGTCCAAAGAGCCCAAGGATCAAACTGATAATGTATACCTAGAGGCAGAAACAGCATCTTCCTACAGCAGACAAGAGCCAAAGTGGCAGAGGGGGAGGCATCATCCTGCGGAAACAGACAAATGCCAGAAGCAAGGTAGTCCATGCAGAAGAGGCTGGCAAAGCTGTTTTGAGTTCTGAGAGGACTCCCTAGGAATTTTAGAAATACTTGGGTGGATTATGGGAGGCGAGAAAGTGAAATGTGAGGTATAGCAGTTGTAAAGAAGGAGGTAGCTGGCCAGTAAAATCTGGTTATAAATGCTAATATGACCTCACTTGTCACCAAAGACTATACATTCTTGAGTTGCTTAAGTTGCACTTGACATACGTATCTGCTGTTAATCTCACACAAACCCTATGCAAATATTATTGCCTGGGAGATACTGTTGCTATTTCACACTGGAGAATCTGGATATTCAGAGGGAGTATTTTATTTGATTTGGTCCACCCCAAAGATCTTCCTCACAGATCCAAGTGATTCTGAAGCCCATATCCTGTCCACTGTATTGCACTGCTACTTAAGAAGATGAGCTAGAACTTTCAGTTTCAGGAAGAATATGGAAGGTAAGTTAGCCAGCACAGTAGGTAAAAAACCTTGGGTGTTGGGCTTAGGGAGCACTCAGATTGCCTTTTACCTAGAATTGGTTCTGCTTTCTGTGTGCAAGCACATGAAGGCCCCTCTAGGTCTGAGGATTGGTATGAAAGGGCAAACATTCAAAGAACTGGAAGATCTTAATGCCTGCTTCTCCCCTCTGATACTTCCAGGAAATCCTCATCCCTACAAAGGTACATAAACTGAGCTCCTTCAAAGTTGATAGTACCTATTTTAAAGGGACATCAAGCAAGTAGAAGGGCATTCTGTAATATAATCAAAGGGCTTCCCAAAGTTCCAACTTATATCTGCCTAGAAATATTTCCAGACTTGGTTAAGGAAAGGTGTAACCTTCACACCAGAAGGAAACCATTCCTCTTGAGGTAACTTTCTCTTTAAAAAAATAAAATAAAGGATTTTGGCTACAACCACCCATTTCCCTTCTCTAACATTCCCAGATCCCAGATCTCTTTGGGGAATTCCTTTCACCCACTATGGAAACAAAAGAGGGTCCTCCTGCCAAAACTTGCTCTCACCATCATACCATCATTCCTTGCAGCCAAAGAGTAGGCATGTGACCCAAGCTTGGCTATTGAACTTGAGTTGTTTAAGGATGAAAGAAATAGAGTCCATTCTTCCCAGCCACAGTGCCTGGAAAGGACTCTCGAGCAGTTCTAATCACTGGGATCTTTCAAAAACTACCTTGCACCTTTTCAATGAATTCCATTTTTCACTTATGTTGAAGTTTCTCCAATTTGTAACTATAATAGGTTGAATTATGACCTTCCCCTAAATTCTTATGTTGATATTGTAGACCTCAGAATGTGACTTATTTGAAAATAGGATTGTTGCAGATATTATAATTTAAGTTAAGAGGAAGTCATACTACAATAGAGTGAGCCTGTAATCCAATATGTCTGGGACCTTTATGATCAAAGGAATTTTGGGCACAGACACACACAGAACAGCATGTGAAAATGAAGGCAGAGATTGAAGTGATGCTCCTACGAGCCACCGAATGCCAAAGACTGCCAGCAAACCACTAGAGGCTAGGAGAGGGGCAGGGAACAGATTCTCCCTCACAGCCCGTAGATGGGAACCAACCCCGCTGACACCTTGATCTTGGACTTCTAGCCTCCAGAACTGTGATACAAATTTCTGTTGTTTAAAACATGCAGTTTGTGAAGCTTTGTTACAATAGCCCTAGCTAATTAACACAGCAATCAAAACACCCAATCTGGGTTTTTTTTAAGGGTGGATACTCTTGGTGAGTTTAAGGGAGCAAATTCTCATAAAGTGATTGTGGTAAGAAAGGTCTGAGCAGCCTGAGGAGAGAAGGAAATCTGTAGAGAAAGTTCACAGGCTGGCTTCTCAATATAGAGTATTAGTCTGTTCTCATACTGCCATGAAGAAATACCCGAGACTGGGTAATTTATCAAGGAAAGAAGCTTAATTGACTCACAGTTCCACATGGCTGGGGAGGCCTCAGGAAAATTACAATCACGGTAGATGGCAAAGGAGAAGCAGGCACCTTCTTCACAGCATGGCAGGATGGAGTAGGTGCAACCAGGGGAAATGCCAGATCCTTATAAAACCTTCAGATCTCGTGAGAACTCAGTCACTATCACGAGAACAGCATGGGGGAAATTGCCCCCATGATCCAATTACCTCCACCTGGCCCCACCCTTGACACATGGGGCTTATGGGGATTACAATTTGAGGTGAGACTTAGGTGGGAACACAGCTAATCCATATCAGTATATCTGAATACTTCACAATTTTGCCTAAGCCTTCCTTGGGTTCACACACACACACAAAACTGATTAGACCAAGAAGATGATTTTTCAGGTAGCAGACCAAGAAAAGGCTGGGATAAACAATATATAGTTTGGGCAGTTTGAGACTAGGAGAAAGTGTGTGATTCATGGTCATTAGAATAAACTCTGCTGTAAGCAGCAATTTTTTTTTTTTTGCCTCTGCTTGTTGTCTAAAAAATGATTGATTATATTCACTATTCTCTAGTTGATACCTTGATGTAATGTTAGCATCTGGTCTGAGTCAGAAGTTAATATGGTGTGGGCAGAGGGCCCAGTTTTGATCTCTTTAAGGTAACTAATTTGATCTTTTTAGTGCCCAAGGATTAAATGGTCTCTAATTAACTCTTATTCTTTCAGCAAATATCTATTAAGTATGTACTCTGGGCCAGAAGAGTGCCGTGAGTAAGACAGGCAGGTTTTCACCCCTACACTGGAGGGAGCAGCAAATGTTACAGGAACTAATGGTCAGGTGTATCGTGGGAAGCAACATTTAATCTGCTAAATAAAGGTCAAGTGAGAACTAGCAGGTCCAAAGCAGGCAGGAGGTAAAGGGGACAGTGTCTGAGGAAAGAGCATTCCCAGCAGAGTAGAAGATACTATGAAATCTTAGAAATCAAAGAGAACACTTTGGCAAGGCAGAAGCATTGAAAGAAGCTCATTATGGTCAAGAGATGAAGCTAGAAAGACCAGGAAAACAGAATTAAAGAGTCTGAATTATCCTAAAGGTAACATGCAGAACTACCAAAGAGTTTTAATCTGGGAAGTGAGATGGCCAGATTCACTCTCCTTAAGATCATTCTAGTGGCTGTTTGGAGAATGGCTGGGGGAAAACCAGGCTAGACACACAGAAAACAGTTAAAAATCTATTGGCATGGTAACAGAGATGAAGATAGATTAAGCTAGGATAGTGGCCATGTAAAAGGAGAGAATATCATATCTGGAAGAGGGGAAATGCCATGTCTTCTGACTGGGGAGGCTGCCTTTCCTTACCAGTTGGGCCAAGACTACCATTCTTGCTTGTTTTCTGTGGTTCAGTGAAAATGTGTGGCAGGTCCAACATGCCCCACTGCAGAAGAGCAGTGAGCCCCCAACAGATTTCCCAGACAGGGTCCATACCCTTGAGATTTGGATGAGAACCCTGTGAATTCTGGCAAATGCCCAACAGATTGCCCATGATCGGTAGATTGGCAATTCTGGCAGATTGCCCAACAGATTGCTTTCACTGCTTGTGACACAGCAGGTCTTGCAAGACTACAGCACCTTATCTCATCTACTTATTCCAGACAACTCTGGGAACCAAGAAAATTTGGATTGGGAACAACTAGGGTGTGTGCCTCAGCCCCAGCCATCCCTTTACCTGGAAGGTTTGTCACCTGTCTCTTAAATTGCCTTTTCCTTTTCAGTAGTACAGGGGCATGTGGCAATCAACTGTCTAAGCAGATATCCAACTGGAAAACAAAATGTATGTGGCATGTAGCCATATTCCGTAACATGAACTCCCCAAAATGGAACTCTTTTTCTCTCCCCCAAAGTCCTATCCTATTGATTGGGAGGGAGAGGACTGTATTTGCAGGGCTTACTTTCTGCAGAAAGTTATTTGGTCCTAGCAACTGTTAGTTCACTGCATTTAGAATTCTAGATACCTAGCACTTTTCCACCACAGATTTGGGACTTACAACTCAGAGAGAGAAAAAAATAAAATCCTGCTCCACTTCTTATTACAGTAACCTAAACATTTTTCTCCTCAAATTCTTTGGAGCACTTGAATATGGGAAAACAAAATTTTAGCAGAATATTTTTTAAATGGAAGAATGAGTTAACAATCTACATTTGAAAGCATTTGACTGAGCCATGTATTCTTAAGTATTGAAATGCTTATTGGTATGGACTTGGTAAGAAGGCACTGTTTTAGGTACTATATTTACAGATTCAGTGATTATTATAGGTACTATATTTATAGATTCTTTTAAAATACATATTTAGAGCTTTCTTGGTAAGATTGACAAAGCAGCAGCAAAATTAATTGAAAGAACTTTTTTAAAACAATTTCTAATGTCATTTAGGGTACAATCAGGCAGAAAAAAAAATGTTTGGTTGCTGTTTCAACCCCCAAATCATCAATCTTAGTATTTTTTAATTGAGTTGCTTGTAAGACTAAGTCAGCCTGTAGAAAGACAAATTTTAAAGCAATCTTCTAGCTATTCCACACATGATGGCCTTAAATTCACTGAACTTTAAGTTCCAAAACTTTCCACCAGTCAAAGGTAGTTTTTCATTTGTGTGGACACTGAATTCTTAATACAATTAAGGCTGATGCTTCTGGCTGTCTTTCTGAGGTCACCATCCTTACGTGGCTGATTAAATTCCACTCCTGAGAATGGATGCTGAACACATTTCCAGTGACAGCAATTACTTTAAACTCCTTAAAGCCTTCAAAATAGAGAATGTTTAATTTAGAGCTCTTAGTAAAAATAATTAGCAACTAAGACTCAAGGAAATTACATTTAAATCTCTCCTGTAGAATCCTTAACAACTTAAACACCAATTCAAATTTCCTACATGACAAAAGAGTAAATTGCTCATTGTGAAAAGTGTTTGTACCACCTTTTCCTCTACCTTTTTTTAATATATATATATATACACATATATATACACATATATATACACATATACACATATATACATATATACACATATATACATATATACATATATACACATATATACATATATACACATATATACATATATATACATATATACACATATATACATATATATACATATATACACATATATACATATATTATTATACTTTAAGTTCTAGGGTACATGTGCACAACATGCAGGTTTGTTACATATGTATACATGTATACATGTTAATTGGTGTGCTGCACCCATTAACTCATTTACATTAGGTATATCTCCTAATGCTATCCCTCCCACCTCCCCCCACCCCACAACAGGCCCCAGTGTGTTATGTTCCCCTTCCTGTGCCCAAGTGTTCTCATTGTTCAATTCCCACATATGAGTGAGAACATGTGGTGTTTGGTTTTTTGTCCTTGCTTCCTCTACCTTTTTCATGTAACCCTAACATAACTCTAACAGAGGCACAAGGCTTAGGGTAGTTAGGATCCTGTAGTTACAGGATTGCTGAAGTGATGAAGGATCACAGCTGCTGGGGCATTTCCTTTGGCAGTTTGCCAGATGCCTCCTCTTCTATTTCAGCCTAAGATGAGAGTACCAACCCTATCACAGATCCAAGGATTTTAAAATACCCTTTCTAATTACAGAAAAAACATCTAGACACCTTCTGTGTCCAAGCAACTGCTTCATTAACTGAAATGTAAGAGGTGACTCTGGGAGCTGCTCTCATGGAGTGGTGCAGTGCTTGCTTGTCTTTGCTTTTGCACCATATCCCTCTCCACACCCTTTCTCCCTTTTCAGGATCCATATTTCCAAGCACACGGTACCCTATGTATCTTTCTAAATGGCAAGGACCCCACTAAGGCAGTGCTTTCCTCTTTCTAACGCCTTCCTACCTCACCTTCTGACCAAAACACACCTTTCCTATTTCCCATAATCATTCAAGAAGCATGCTAATCTGACCCGCTTATTTTAAAATCCATTTCTGCCAAGACTTTAATGAACAATAATGGTGTATCTTTCTCAGAAAACTTTGGCTTTCAAATTTTCGGCCTTCATTACCTTAATCCAAAAACAGTGACAACCTGGCAAAGACAGAGGAAGAGATATCATGAGACTGAGGAGCCCTTTGGCTCCTCCTCAATTCATATATTTCAGTCGAACTTAGTTTTATGACTGACTTCACCTACACACTTCATAAAATTACAAAACCTGACAGCTGGAAAGGATTTAGAGATAAGTCAACATTTCCATTTTAAAGATAAAGGAACTGCAACACTGAAGAGTTCAGAAAACAGTCATACCATTAGTAAATAGAGAGAGAAGCCAGGACTCCTGGCTCTAATAACTCTTATTCTCTTACCTCACCAACTCCCTGTTAATGAACTTGTCAAAAAAAATATGTGTACTATTAATTTTTTGTATCTGTGGTTCCTAATTGGCTGGAATGAGATGAGGTTGGAGGGAGCATATATAAGCATCTCCAAATAACACATTCGATTTAAAGAAGCATAATTAATATCAAAATATATTTCAAATTGGGGAAATGAAAACCCCATTGTTTTGATAACAAAAACCACAAGTAGTAAATTGCAACAAAACACCGGCAGATAACAATTCCTTCCTATGCATATCAGTAATTCTCAAAGAGGGCAGACATTGTAGACTGGAGACATATTCAAACCTCCACAGGAAGAAGGCTCTTAGCTTCATCTGAAATATATAAAACATCTTGGCCATTTAACTTTTTAAATTTTTGGTTGCAATTATAACATTTCAAACAAATAGAAAAATACAGAAATAATACAGCCCTTACATATCCACCATATTCAAAACCTACTATGTCATTGTTTTATCACATTTGCTTAATATGCCTCTTTGTTGTTTTAATTTTTAAAAGAAACAAAAAGTACAGGCACAGGTAAAGCTCCACCAGAAACATACTTTCCTTCCCCTCTTTGAGTGACAAGCACCCTGATCGAGTATGAATTATCTGTGCCTTTTAAGCTATTCTATTTTATCACTTATGCATGTGTCCATAAACAATGTATGTTATTGGTCGCTGCGTTTTTACATTTTATACAAATCATACAATTATTGCATGTATCTTTTTACAACTTGCTTTTTTCGTTAAACATACTCTGTGAGATTTATTCATACTGATATATGTAGATTTAGTGAATTCATTTTAACTGCTGTACAACACTCATTGTATAAATAAACCCAGCTTATCTCTCCAGTTCCCTACCAAGAAGCAGTTAATATTGTCTTCACTTTTTTTACTTTTGTAAACAGTGCTGCAGTGAAAATCCCGGTGGATGACCCCTTGTGCACATGTGTGAGAGTTTTTCTAAGAAGTGTAACTAGAAATAGAATTTTAGAACTTCAGGATGCATGCATTTCCATCATTACTAATTGATGAAATATTGTTTTCCAAAGTGGTTGTACCAATTTATCCTCTGCTAGCATTACCTGTGTTCTGTTTACTTACATTTTTACCATTATTTGGTGATAACAGACTTATTGTCTTTCTTATCTCTTGGGATGAAATAGTATTTTGTATTATTCTAATATATATTCTCTATGTATCAGTGCAGTTGAATATCTTTTCATATATTTATGAAATCTTCTAGTTTCCCCTTCTGTGAATTGCTTTTTCATATCCTTTTCTCACTTTTAAATGGGTTGTTTTCTGTTCCTTACTGATATATGAAAGCTTTTATGTATTCTGAATACCATTCTTTTGCCAGTTATATAGATAGAAAATATCTTCTTTCTGTGTAGATTGCTTTTTTGCTCCTTTTATGGAATATTTTGTCATTCACAGGTTTTTTATTTAATGAAGCCAAATTTAACACTATTTCTTTAATAGTTGTCTGTTGTTTAAGAAATATCTCTTACCTGAAGTCATAAAATATTGTTCTTTATCTTTTCTTGAAAATGTTAAAGGTTTACTTTTTACATTTATTGTTTAATCTAGCTGCAGTTTATTTTCGTGTATGGTATGAAAGAGAAATCTAGCATTCTTTTTTCTGTGGATAGCCGGTTGTTGTAGCACTGCTTACTGATGAGTGGATTTATAAGGCCACTCTACACAAAGTTCTCATAGGGAGATGAGTCTGTTCCTAGGCTCCAGATTCTTCTCCATTGATCTATTTCTGTCTCCATATCAATAACACCATCTCATTTAATATGACTGTAAAGTAAGTTTTACTCAGAGTGGGGTGAATCTCTTCTTTTTCTTCTCCTTCTCCTCCTACACCTCATTTTCTATTTCTTTCTATAAAAATATTTTAAACCATTCTCAACCATCTTTACTTTTGTATAACACTTTGCATTTTCTTATGAAGTCTGTAAAGCTAAATTTACTTTATAAATTAATTGGAGAATTGTCACCCTCCAATACTAAGTAAATGTTAGTACATTTACTAAATTTTAGGGAGGGTGTAAAGATATAGTAATGATTTTGTATGTTGCTCTTGCATCCAGGAATTTAGCTTAACTATTGCTGGTATGAACAGTTTATAAATTTTCTTATTAATACATTTTTCCATGTAGACAATTATATCATCAATAATAATGATTATTTTATTTTTTCCTTTCTGATCTTTTCACATTAAAATTTTTTAATTAACTAATTTGTCTTATTCCACTTACTAAAATCTCCAGTACAATATTTAAATGAAATGGTAATTGCAGGCATCATTTACAAGAGACTTAGATGAAGCGTCTAATGTTTCTCTACTAGGTATAATATTTATGAGAGTTTTGGGTTGATATTCTATATCAGGTTAACGAAGTTTTCTCATTTTTCAATTTTATTATAAATTTACAGATTTCTTTGTTTTTTACCCTGAGTGAGTACTAAACTTTATCAAGTAATTTTTCTGAATCTGTTGAGATAATTGATTTGCATCTTCAATCTGTTTATATGGTAAACAAAATTAATAAATGTTGGTCTAATGTTTAATCATTTTGGCATTTCGAAAATGAACCCCATTTGGTCATGCTATATATTTTAATAAATTGTTGGCCTTGTTTTGTTAATATTTTATTTATGATTGATTTTGCATCATTTTCATAAATGAAATCAGCTAGCAGTTTTCCTCTGTGATACTACAGTTCTGACAAATTGTTCCTTTGTGGTACTAGAGCTCTGAAAACCTCGGTTTCACATTTTTATCAACCTCATAGAACAAGTTGTGGAGGATTTCTTTTTTTCTATTATCTAGATGAGTTTATATTAAAAAGAAATTACATATTTCTCAAATTTGTAGCACTTGCTCGTTTAGCCCTTGGAGTCTGATAAATTTCATCTGGATTTACTTTTAACTGCTGAATAAATTTCTTTAACAATTACAAAGTTCCTTAGTCATTTTGGCAAATTTGGCAATTTTTCTATAATTTTATTTTTTTAACTAAAGCTTTCATGTTTATCACCAAGGTAGCTTCTGGACACACACACACACACACACACACACACACACACACAAACACACACACACGGCAATTGTCTTTTTTTATTCCTAATATAATTTATCTATGTCTAATTTCTTTCTTTTTTCATTAGTCTTACTCAAATTGTTCCTATTTTATCTTTCCAAAAAATCAATGTTTGGCTTTATTGACACTCAATATTGTTTCCTTTTTTTCTATTTCTATTTCTTTAACTTTTATTCATTTCCTTTATATTCTCTTCTTTTTACTTTCTTTGGACAAACTGCATATTAATTTCTAGGCTTGGGATTTCCCAAACAAGCAGGAATTGTAAAGTTAAAAAACTCCAAACTCAGTAAGGTAATAGCTTGTGATTTCCAGGAGAGACGCCAAACGGCTTCATTTTTCAGAGCTTCTACTTTTCCTTCTCATCACCCCAAGCTGCCTGAGTGGATTTTTTAATGATACCTTTTAACTTACACTGAAAATGCCTAAGGTCTTGGCTTTAGGCACGGTCTGTTTTACCTTTCTTTACTTGCCTCGACCCAAGGCCTCCTTCCCTGGCTCCATCTAGGTTGTAAAAACCCAAGCACCTGGCTTCCTAAGACAAAGTTCTCCACCTAGGCAGGGTTAGCTTCCCTCCATTGCCGTTCAGGTTTTCAGTTCTCGCCTCAGGTATTAGACATAGGGAGAATTCTATTTCTTTCACAGGGGTTCAGATATCCAGTAATAATGTTGTTGTTGTTGTTGTTGTTAAATGTTTTCGTGTTTCCTAGGTGTTTGTAGCAAGAGGATGTTTTCATCACACTAGCTAATCATTATGTTGAAACAGGAAGTTTTCCATTTAGATTTTAAGACACATGATTCAATATTTAGATAATTTATACTTCCGCTCTCCTGTTAGATTATAGTAATAATTGCTACCATCTACAGAACATGCAACATAGGTGTAAAGTGCTTCATATATGTAGTATTTAGCTCTCATGACAGCTATTTTACAGATGAAGAAGCTGAAGATTGAGGATCAGGGTGATGAGAGAGTGTTAAATAATTTTGGCCAAGATCATGCTGTTATTCATCATCAGAGCTAGGTTGCAACTCACATCATTCTGACTCCAAAACAGATGTGACTGATTCCCCAAACCCTGTCTTTTGGCTTTTCTGCCTTTCAACATCTTCTCTTCTCTTTGCTGTACAAACCAGCTAGGTCCAGGAATGTCAGTAAATCCCTGAATGGCAAGAAAAACTCTCTGTGGACTTGTACCTTAAAATACCTCTAGGCACTCTGTTCACCCACTAAAAGTTAACAAATATGTTTTGAAAATGATGATTTATAATTATAAATATTATTTAGTGAGAGAATTAAGGAAGGAGAAACATGGATTTCAGCAACATTGGTTGGGCCATTTTGGAAGGTGAATGCCAAGCATGCAAATTTATTTCAACCTTCCCTGAGGACTGAGTGCAAAGCAGCTGGCTGGTGCTTTTAAGTCTCTCACAGTTCGGCACAGTGGCTCCTAATGCTGACAGAGCTCCTGTGTCACCAGGATCTGCAAAGCATGGCAGGCCAAATGAAAGAGGAAGTTTGCAATTAATTAAAAAATAAATGAAAACAAAAATCTTCCCCCAGTGGCTTGTTTCTCATCTTGGTTGTAATCCATAGTCAACATGTGGAGGCCATGTGGGGCATTTACCAAATGGAAAAGGTATAGGACTGTGTCGAAGAGACCACAGACGGCCGCGCTGGACCACACTAATGATTCTTTTAAATCCTCTCATTCCACCTCGTCGAGAGACACAGCAGCATTTTAAATCTGACTGACCCATATAAATTACCTTTCTACTCATCCGGCTGTGAAATTAACAGTCTAGGAAGACAGGTCCTGTCAGACTTGCTGTGCTGAGCTGCTGAGAAGTTCAGAATAAATAGGGGTGGGGAAAGGAGACCTGGTGCCTGTGAGAAAACAAGGAGCCTGAGCTTGGATCAGCACAGCAGGCTCTGATGTAGACGCCTGCTGTTACTGAGCCTGTGACCAGCACGGAAAGGGTGTTTACCAAGAAGGCACAAGTTGAGTGACACCATCTGTTGGGCTGAAAAGCAAAGTGCTGTGGGCCTGGGACCCATAGCAAAGGTGGCTGGGACAAACAGCAAGTCTCTCTAACAGTTAAGCCACTGGAATTTGATAAAGAGGCCCACAGATACGTTCCATTTGCAATGTTACCTAAACTCACTAGTATCCTGGAGCAGGGTATTTAAACTTTCATGGTCTTTGTTTCCTAAAATTTTAAATAATACTGTTACTAGATATTGAAGAAGAAGCAGCTAATTCATAATGAAGCTACATTAGTAAATCACTAAATCATCATATAATTTTGTATTGTTTGAAAATGTAGTTTAGGAGTAGAACCAACCTCGTGCCATTAAGCTCCGATAATTTCTTCCACAGCCTCACCCATCCCTATATGACAATGTCAGTATTTCTTTCCTGTATCCCTACGTGGTTTACAAGCCTGACATTAAGGAGAATTTGGCCTTATCTTTTGTTCTGCAGCAGAGAAAGACAGTTTTATCAAGAAATTCTTATATACCAGGAAACGAAAGACAGCAGGGTGGGAAATTCACCCAGCCATTCTCCACATGCATGCACACACCCATATACACACACAGATACACACAGAAATCCACGCTAAGGTCAAAGTAGCAGCGCCTATGCACTCTGTGGGCTGCACCCTGCATATGAGTTGGCCAAATGCTTTCATTAAAGTGTGCAGGCAAGTATAGCTGTCATTCCATTGCATGCCGGTATACCAGAGAAGCACAAGCAAGAATATTGATTAGCTATTGCTACTAAGAATTTTATTAATATTATTGGTATGAAGGATTATGTTGGTAACCTTACATTTATTAACTCATGTTTTCCTCAAAAACATTTGGGATAGGTTTTATATCACTCTTTATGACTGTGAATAGATGAGACACTTTGGCTTAGAGACATTATGTAATGTCAAATATCACAGCTTACAAGGCAAAAACAAAATTTGAACCAAGGCCTGGCTCTAAAATGTCACAATGACTGTTAACTCCATAGTCCACTGAAACTCAGAAGGAAGAAAGAAGACTAACACTGAAACAAGTTTTTAAAATGATAAGACATTATAGTTGTCCCTCTTCTCCCTTTCCCAAAGTCCCTACTTTTAAAAGACAAAATAAAAAGAAACACATCCTAGAAAGGCTTGTTCTTCTCAGACTACTAAACTGAGAGATCATACTCCTCTTTTACATACAGGAAACCTGAGGTTCAAGAAACTACTTGAAAATGGTCTCAGTCTTTAATGGCAGAGCCAGGACTAGAAATAAGCAATGTGAATTCCCAGAACAGTGTTCTTAATTTTATACCAAAAAAAAAGAGAATTCATTTTCAAGACCAGGAAATCATTTTTTCTCATTTTTCACTGGTCTTAGTGATTCTCAATCCAGAAAACCCTGGAAAGATTTGGAGAAGGGCAAAGGTTTCTTTCCCTTGCATACTCAGTGTATGAATTTACAGTGAATGCTTTCCTTCACTATGAAGGAGAAAATCAAGACTGTTAAGTAAAAAGGTGTTTTTTTCACTTTTCTTCAATGGGAGAAGGCAGTATTTCAACATCAATATTTTTTTCTTACCCTTGCCATTCTGACAACGAAAGTTTTGAATGAAGTCTGTGTTATTAATTTTACTTCAATTTAACTTCCCTAGTGAGCTAGTCTGTAGCTTTTCTATTTTGGTAATTTGAGTTTTAGTAGTTATGTTGTACTCATATTCTCTATTCCATGAAGTTAGACACTAGAAGAAATACATTTGAGACAGGAAGAAGTCTCCAAAGAAGAAATTCATAATCTTCAAGCTAGAGAAAATTTGATTCGCATGAAAGTTAAACTAAAAATAATATTTTTAAAAAACAAGTAAAGTAAATAGGAATGACTAGAGCAACCTTCCTATGTGGTTACACATGAATACATAGGCAAAAATTCGTATTAGGAATTTAATCCGTCTTTGAAAATATAATTGAAACTGAAACTCAAAACTCTATTTGAGTTTCTCACCAAAAGACTTTTAAAATGAATTTCAAAAAGTAATTTTCTAGGCTATTTCTCTCCGTTCCGAACCCATCTTTCTTTACTCAGCTGCGGGAAGCTGTGGTTGGAGATCGGCACAATGCATTTCTCCTCTGCCAGTTGACTTCCTCTTAGCCATAGAAGGCACTAGAGAAGGGAAAGTTACATTTTTCCTGTTGGGTCCAGCCACTTTAGGCAATCTCAGAACCAAGGTCTTCTCCTTCTCCCTAGGGATAAAATCACCAGGCAGGCAGCTCCCCACACTCAAGGAATGAGCCCCAGCTTAACAGAGGCCCTCCTTCAAGCTGCTATGGTGCCAAAACCAGCAACTGCCATCCCCTTCCCAGCATTACAGGGCTCCTTGAGCTTCTGAGGTGTGGCCACAGCTTAGCACTCCTCAGAGGTCTGAGGACCAGCTCCACAAACAACAACCTTCTGCACCAAAAACAACTAGTTATAATAAAGGAAAGGAAAAAAATTATACATCTCCCCATCTTGTCACTCCTTTTTTCTCCTATCTTTTAAAATCCTTCTCTAACTGCTGTTGTTCCCTGGAAGCAGTTGAGAATATGTGCCCATGATGAGATTTTTATTTCAATTTTGAGAAGTATTCCTACTCCCTCAAAACCTCTTGGGAAGTTTCTGTTTTCATATTCAGTCAGAAACCAATGGGACAAAGAAGAAAACCAAACACAATGCAAAAGAGTTAAAGTTTAACTCAAATCCCAGAGCCTAAAGTTCTGTGATATTTTATCCAGATTCTCCACCCAATACATACTTACAAATGCAAATAAGACAAGACCCATCTCAAGAACCAGCATTTTAATGTCGTAGCTGAACAGCTGTTTCTTAACATACCATGTGTTATAAAGAGGTCTCACATATTTTTGCATCTTGTAGAAAACACGTTTTTCTACATCTCTGTAATTACGATGACAAAATACAGTTCTTTGTAGTTTTTTTTTTTTTTTTCCTTACAACAGGTTTTAACACAATGGGTTTCAAATTTGACTTTCTCTTGAGCATGTTCAGAGCACCCAATTCTGGTTTTGGGGGATCTGCAGTCAAGAAGTCAGGTCTGCATACCTAAACAGGAGCATAGCTACGAGCAAAAGGAAGGAATTTAATTAGTATCTGAACAAATTTTTTAAGAACATGGGTCACTAGTTACATCTGTTTATTTAAGCAAAAAATGGAATCTTGTGTGATTAGCTGATGAATTCAAAGCCAGCCTAAAATTGACCTTCTGAAGAGCAATTACTGTTTTCCCTAAAAGTTCTAGACCACCAGTAACATTGCCTAAAACTTCTAGGCCACTGTTTTCCCTAAAACATTAGGCCACCAGGAACACTCAGGACACCCACATGTCCATGAACTTGGAGTTGGTCTCACACAAGGGCACAGGCCAAAAACAATCACAGGAGTTCTTAATCTGATAGGGATGTGACATAGACGATCATGTAGGTAAGCTTATTATTACTAATGGCATTACAATCAACAATATTGTTCCATCCTCACAACAATGCTGAGCTGAGGTTCAGAAGGATTGAGTGACTTTCCAAAAATTCTACATCTAGTGAGTGGCAAGGTTGAGGTGCAGACTCAAATCTGACTCTGAATATTTGGCTCTTTCTATTAAGACTGTGGCACAGCACCCTAAGGATAATTTTATCTACAAAAGAATAAAATTAACTTTGTTTATCTTCACCTTCGTGAATCTTTCTCATTCTTTAAGACTCGGCTCACGTCCTACCTCCTTCAATAAGTCTACTTAATTATACTCAATCCATGTTCTCTCTATCCTCTGACGTCTATACAACATATTCCTTGCCTGGATTGGCAATCATCTTGTCACAGGGATATTGTCACTTCCACAACCAGGTATTACACTTCTTTATAGTTTCTAAAATGCCTAGCATGTAAAGACATAATAAAAAACTCAAAAATGCTTTACTAACTGGCTCATTGATTCGTTGCCGGTTTTATCCAAAATCATTTTAAATGTCTCCTCCCACCTTCAGCCCTTTTTTTTTTAGTAGAGAGAGCCTGGATTTTTTTTGTTTTACCATTTTGGCCTTCTAATTTACCAGTTGGTTTTGCAAGATTCTACCTTGTTTGCATGTGTAGACTTAACCCACAGGTAATATTCAAAAAGTTAGAAATTATTACTTTGAGATACTAACCAATCAGAATGAAGGAGGGTACTAGAGGCCATTTATGGTGTCAAGTTGACAGTTTGTAGGTGAGGCCAAGGAATTTAAGATGGCCAGGATGGCCAGAATGACTAGGAGGTAACTGCTAGTCTAAGGGGGTGTAAGGAAAGTCTTCTCTACTAAATACTTCTCATGAAAGCATTTCAATAGTTTAACAACTGATATGACTGGACTGGTGAAAATTATTCGTTATCAACCTTGGCCTGGCTCCATAATCTTCAAATGCAGCAATTGCCAATAGGAAAAATTAAACAGCTACCAGGCACAGTCTGAAGCAGACTAAATCCCCACTCTTTTGTATGTAGGTTTTTTAAAAACAAATAGGATTCCCATCTCTTCTCCCAGCCTTGTGTAGCTAGGACTTACATACACTTTAGAATTAATTGAACAAAAAACTAGCAGGATTTTGTTTCTAAACTGCAGCTTGAAGTAATTTATTTGAGGATTACCTAATGGCACTTGGCTTTTGAATATTAATATTTATCATTTCCTATGCTTTCATTAATCACACAAACAGTATTATGAATAGTATTTATTTGTACTATACCTTATTTCAAGAAAAATACTTAAGAAAATTCAAAAAAGATATAATGCAGCAAAGTAGAATATATTTGTTATAAGTGAGATGAATCGAATAAAGTTAAATAAGAAAAGATAGAATTAGGAGTGATATTAGTATACAAAATACTTGCTATAAAGTCTGATAAACTTGCAAAATGTGAACTATGTGTATGGCGTGAATCTTTCTAGCAGATAAAATGCAGAGGGAAGCATCTGTTATAAAATACTGAGAATCTGCTAGAAAAAAACAAACCAATTGCTCAAAGAAACCCACTGATTCATTCTCCTGAGACTGCTATCAAAAATGACGCTGTTTGCTTAAAATGGAATTCCACCCAACTATTTTCTTTAATAGAAAATTTGATGTAAAAAACTAATAAACAAAGTGCCTTACTTTTGTGGGTTTTCTACTTAAGTTGAACTTAGTTTATTCAAGCCTCTCTTCTCCCAAAAAGTTCCACAAATGATCCAAACTCTTCTCAGTAAATATCAGTTTTGCAATATTTAATACGAGGCTAAGCAGTCTGAGTAAAATGACCACATTAGAAGTATTTGTTAAATTGTTAAAATCTGAGTAAAATAGACATGAATTTATATAACATGAATTTATATAACATGTCTTGGATACCCTAAAAGAAAACAATAGTCAAAATGTCAAGGACAAGCTCAGACCTTGTAAACATACTGCAGCCTTGACAACCTGAGACCTAGAATCCCATTTTGAACAATTATTATACTAATAGGCCCATTTGATTTGAAATTCAATTTATGTAGCTCTTAATTCTAAGCAACTCCACTATGGGAGAGCCTTTTATACTATACATTTGGGATATGTTCCTTTGTGTTTCTGTAAGAGAAGAGATGCATTTTAGAACATTTTATGATAAATTGATGTAATTGGCTTTAGTGATTCAGAGACAGCACTCATTTCTGAGGCATTTATGAAAAATGCATATTAAAAAGCAGAATTGCTCTCTCCATGTCCCAAGAGGCTTCTCAGGGGAAATTGGAAGGTGTGATTTCTTTCAGCCATCCAATCATGTTCTCTTTTCTCATTCAATATGTTAAGCCAGGGAAACACAAAGAGTGATAATGGGGACAAAGTTGGAAAAGACATGGGCTTACAGCATCACCATCACCACAGCCCCTGAAAGGTCAGTGCACAGCAACCAAAGGCCAGTGACTGGTATTGCAATGCCTGGAAGACATGCAGTTAATGTGAGGTCATGGTGCTGGGAATGAGAGCAAAATGTGTATTATTTTAATCTTTTTGCTATCGACCTACCATGTCATCGAACCCTATGTGGCTCAGTGGATTTTGTATGGTAACTTTCACAATATATAATAAGGTTGAATTAGGTAGAGTTTCAACTTTTCCTAAAATTCAGAATACATAATTAGTATTATGTCGTTTATTTTAAAAGCAAAATGCACTGTTCTGAAAATGCAGAAGACTTGAGGAACTATGGAAAATAATTTAGTTTAATGAATTCAGTTAACTTATCTAAGTCACTAATCTTATTTCTTTTAATAAACCCACGAACAAAACTCCCCTGGCTTATTAATCCTGAAATCAGATGTCAACTCCAACGGGAAAAGAACTTAATATATTTAAAATGTTGAACACTTTTACAACCCTTTCTTATTAACAAAATCTTATTTAAACACATCTTATGAGAAAATTTTTTTTTAGCATTGAGAATTTTTCCCTGAACACTGGTGTCCTTAATGAGCACAGAATAGACCCTTAATAAGTCTAAGTTGGGAAAGAAGGAAGGAAAGAAGGAAGCAAGGAAGGGAGGAAGGAAGGAAGGAAGGAAGGGAGGAAGGAAGGAAGGTCTCAAATACAAGAAAATTCAAAGAAGTTAGTGATTTGTCAAGGTGTATTGTGTTGGTGGAGTTCAAACCCCCAAGTCTTTAAATGTATCATTCTTTATGACTCAAAGCCGCTTTTGCTCTGCCTAGAAAATAAAATATGGATTTTCTAAAAAATTACAATATCATTATTTGTGATCTCCAAATAATTGTTCACTGCTAACATTTTTATTCTCGTTGTTAATAAAATCTTAACTCTAGATGTAAACATATCCCAAAATTAGATCAACATTGTCAAATGTTACTAGTAGCTTTAAGGCATGACTTTGGTATTTAACTTTTTATGCTGATTTTTTATTTGGTTCCAAGACTTTGGGCAGAAATTTCTCATTCGTAGCTCATACTAGCAGAATGTGATTCCTTATTTGTTTCTTATTGCCAATTCTACTACGCTACTCACTTTAGCATCTAAGCAAATAGCTGAATTTTTCATTCAAACCTCTCAGAGACATCACACTAAAAATTTAAAATTCATAAGGGTGTAAGATAATGTGGTTTCCTCAGGCTTGAAAAAGAATAATAAATGTGTGTGATTATATAATTAGTTCTCACACTGTTGTTGATTGCACAATCACACTGCTGTGGACTGACTTGTCTCCCTGCCAAACTCATATGTTGAAATCCTAACCCTTAATGTGATGGTACTCGGAAAAGCGGCCTTTGGGAGGTAACTAGTGTTAGATGAGGTCATGAGGGCAGGGTTCTCAAGATGGGATTAGTGGCTTTATAAGAAGAGAGAGAGATAGAGAGGTCACTCTTCCACATGAGGACACAGAGAGTAGGCAGACATCTGTGAGCCAGGAAGACAGCCCACATTGGGAATCGAATCTGCTGGCACCTTGATCTTGAACATCTCAGCCTCCGGAACTGTGAGAAAATAAATTTCTATTGTTTAAGCAACTCAGTCTGTGGTATTTCGTTATAGCAACTCAAGCGGACTAATATAAAAATTTGACCTTAAACTCTGAAATTGTATTTAATCTGTGATTAATGAGATAATTAAGACTGTGTTTTGGGGCTTTTAACATTTAGCAAATGCTTTCTGATCATTTTCATTATTAACCCTTACCATTGCCCCATGTGTCATGTCAATAATCTTACTTACTTATTAAAATAGCTCTGCCTGCATCAAGTTTCTTCATGGAAAGGAAGAAAAAGCCAGGCTAATTGTTGAGTCAGCCACAGAGACCAACATCAACTTGAGATTCATCGCTTGTTTCTTCAGGCCCACCCAAACTTATCTTCTATGCGTCATAGATTTCTAGAAAGGGTATTAAATGGGAAGAAATCAGGCTGGTGCAGTGGCTTATGCCTGTAATCCCAGCACTTTGGGATGCCAAAGTGGGCAAATCACTTGAAACCAGGAGTTCAAGACCAGTCTGGCCAACATGGTGAAACCCCGTCTCTACCAACAATACAAAAATTAGTCGGGCATGGTGGTGGGCATCTGTAGCCCCAGCTACTCCACAAGAATCGCTTGAACCCGGGAAGTGGAGGCTGCGGTGAGCCAAGATTACCCCACTGCACTCCAGCCTGGGTAATGGAGTGAAACTGTGTCTCAAAAAAAAAAATGCTAAAAAATCAGTGATATAAACTAAATTGTCCCCACCTGACCTTATACATTTTTCTATCAAAGTCCCTGTAACACTCATTGTGTTATATTTTTACATATAAAATTTCCCCTCCTCAACCAAAGACCATGTCTTATTTCTTGTTTTTTGTTTTTGTTTTTGTTTTTGTTTTTTTCCCGGCACCTAGCATGGAGCCTGGAACAAAATGGGACCTTCACAATTATTTGGTAAATAAATAAAGTATTAAATGAGACTGAACTAACAAATAAATGCTACATGATAAAGTGATTAGGAGTGTGGGCTTTGAAGTCTGGCAACCTATATTTGCAGTCAAATGCTCTAACACTGAGCTATACCCCCTCTAGCAACATATATTTGAATCCTGGATATGTCGCATCCCAGATGGGTAACCTCAACCTCACTAAAATTTCTTTTCTTCATGTGCAAAACCAGGCTACTAATAGCTGGGCTACTCACTCAAGCAAGGATAAAACAAGATAATGCACATAAAGGCCATAACATAGTCTCTGGCGTGAAAGATGTAACCACGATGAGTTGTGCCATCTCTGTAACTATCTATGATGCTTTGGGACATGTTAATCTTTCTTTGCCCTAGTTCCTAATGGGTAAAAAAGAGGATCATGAGGCTTACCTCAGAGGATTGTTAAGAGAATCCAGTCAGAGAATATAATGGATTTTAAAATATAATACAAATGAAAGGCAAGATTATTATTATTTCACTGTCCAGAAAAAATTATCTCTTTGGAAATCAGTCGTGATAATGTAACTGCCCAAGGGGTTCACCTTGCCCACTGCCTAGACAGAGCCAATTCATCAAGACAGGGGAGTGGCAATGGAGAAAGAGTAATTCACACAGAGCCGGCTGTGCGGGAGACCGGAGTTTTATTATTACTCAAATCAGTCTCCCCTAGCATTCAGGGAGCAGAGTTTTTAAGGATAACTTGGTGAGTAGAGGGGAGCCAGTGAGCCAGGAGTGCTGATTGGTCAGGGCTGAAATCATAGGGAGTCGAAGTTGTCTTCCTGGGTCAGTTCCTGGGTGGGGGCCACAAGATCAGATGAGCCAGTTTATAGATCTGGGTGGTGCCAGCTGATCCATCAAGTGAAGGGTCGGCAAAAGATCTCAAGCACTGATCTTAGGAGCAATTTAGGGAGGGTCAGAATCTTGTAGCCTCCAGTGCATGACACCTAAACCATAATTTCTAATCTTGTGGCTAATGTTAGTCTAGTCCCCAGGCAACAAGGAGATCTGCTTTGGGAAAGGCTGTCTTTGTTTAAACTATGAACTACAAACTAAGTTTCTCCCAAAGTTAGTTCAGCCTATGCCCAGGGATGAACAAGGACAGCTTGGAGGTTAGAAGCAAGATGGAGTCGGCAAAGTCTTACACTGTCTCAGTCATAATTTTGCAGAGGCGGTTTCAATAACATAGAATGAGCGTGAGACTAGGATTTGAGAACCAGGTTCTAATCTTGGTTCTACCCTTAAATTCCGTGGGCCTCAGTCATCTTTTCTATAAAATACAGTTGATAGCCTAGATAATTTCTAAAACCTATTCTACCTCTAAAATTGTATAAGCCTAAATCAGTGTCATTTAGATAAATCTGCATTTTTATGGCTTGCCTAATATATGGCTATGACACATTACCATAAGCCTTGAAGAGAGATGAGTAACAAACAGACATTTTAGAGACAGACAAATTGAAATGCTGTGTGACCTGTCGTCTCCCATCAAGCCAAGGTAGGGGAAGGGGACACAGGTTCAGAAAAAGAAATGCTTATGCCTCATTCAGGAAAATGCTTTTCCACTGTGTTTCAACTGACTCTACATTTTTAAAGTCTCCTATTTAAACATACTGCTGTATATGTATAAGAATACAATGGACCCATTAAAATGATATGGTAGAAAATGTTTAGTGAGGTCCAAAGATATTGGTGAAAAATTAGGGTACAAGATAAACATAATATATCCAGTATGTACTCTCTCTCTCTCTCTCTAATTATTGATAATATTGACATTTTCTGAGGATGAAAAGACGTGAAGAATCATAGGGTAGGGGATAAATAGGGAATTGAAAGGAAATTAAAAGCTCCAAGGAATTCGACCCAACAATCCCATTACTGGGTACATACCCAAAGGATTATAAACCTACTATACAAACCCAAAGGATTATAAACCTACTATAAAGACACATGCACATGTATGTTTATTGCAACACTGTTTACAATAGCAAAGACTTGGAACCAACCCAAATGCCCATCAATGATAGACTGGATAAAGAAAATGTGGCACATATACACCATGGAATACTATGCAGCCATAAAAAGGGTGAGTTCATGTCCTTTGCAGGGACATGGATGAAGCTGGAAACCATGATTCTCAGCAAACTAACATAAGAACAGAAAACCAAACACTGCATGTTCTCACTCATAAGTGGGAGTTGACCAATGAGAACACATGGACACAGGGAAGGGAACATCACACACTGGGGCCTGTCGGGGGGTGGGGGGCTAAAGGAGGGAGAGCATTAGGAGAAATACCTAATGTAAATGACGGGTTGATTGTGCAGCAAACCACCCACATAGGTATACCTATGCAACAAACCTGCACATTCTGCACATGTATCCCAGAACTTAAAGTATATTAAAAAAAAAAAAAAAAGCTCCAAGGATCAGGTTAAAGGATAAGTGTCTCTCCACATATGCAAGATTCCCAAATACTTCAGATTTTATGCCTTGTTTGGAATGTTGAATGTGTATGCCATTATTTGCTCACCAATTTTTTTTGGAAAAAGTAAATGAGAAAACTTGTATAAAGTCTCTAGCTCAGGGTGTATCCACACAAAGTGTTGGAAAAATGTTAGTTCCCTTCTACTCCCTGTGTGCATCTATACTTAGTAAGGGCCAGAAAAATGTAATCCTGCATTTTTTTCTCCATAGTCTAATCCCATTTCTCAAAATGGCCTCTCAAATTCTCCTGCCTAAATAAATCTCTCTTATTTTACTTACAATGAGTGTCCTCCTGTTTTTATAGGTTGGGAAACAATAGTTTACCCTTTCATTGCTATCTTCCTTCATTTTAGTTTAACTCTACACATGACTGGGTGTATTTGGCGAGAAAAATTGTATAAAAGGCAATGAAAGCAAAGCACTACTTTTCAGCTGTACCTACAGTAAAATTGCTGAATATATTGATTTTGTAACTACTTTTTTATCAGTATTTTTTATGTCATTAACTTTTTCTGAGTCCACTATAATCACTTTTCATTGCTAAACTTTCTTCATTTCCGGAACCTTTCCTCAGCCTGGTCTATCCACACATTTATTTCTACCTTTTTTTTTCTTTTTTTAACTGATCTCATATAAACATAAAAATGAAAGGAATGTTTCAGAGATAGAGTGAATTAAACTGAAACAACTTAATAAATGAATTACAACATACCCTGGTATATAAAATATATCAGAAGTCTATGATCAATTTTATTGTCTTAATTATTTTATTTAACCAGGGTATTGTGTTTCTATTTCTCCCCCAGAGAACTACCATTCTTTCTGCCAAGGTATAGCCAATCATTTCTGATGACCACGTGACCACATCTTCCATTTCATTTTCCAACAGTAGCTTGTATGGGCATACTAACAGGATGTGTAACAGCTAAATCAGATGCAATTGCAATTTGCATGTTCCCTCAAATAGTAAGATTTTGTTTTTTGTAACATCTAGTCCTCTAAAAGGACTTATGTATCAAACCATAAGCAACAAATTTGCTTAAAAGAGATAATCACCGCATGTTCTCACTCATAGGTGGGAATTGAACAATGAGAACACATGGACACAGGAAGGGGAACATCACACACCGGGGACTGTTGTGGGTGAGGGGAGAGGGGAGGGATAGCATTAGGAGATACACCTAATGCTAAATGACAAGTTAATGGGCGCAGCACACCAACATGGCACATGTATACATATGTAACAAACCTGCACGTTGTGCACATGTACCCTAAAACTTAAAGTATAATAATAATAAAATTTAAAAAAAGAGAGATAATCACACACACTGTTTTAGATTAGAGAAGTGCAGAGGGATGCGGGGAGGGAAAGTAAAGATTTGAGAGATTCATTTACTACTATGAAAACCTTCCATTTCCCTACAGTACTTGCAAGTCTAAAATAGTATGCTAAGCTTTATTCTCGGTTAAAGAAAAATAAATTGAGATAATTATAAGGAAGTGGTTCTGAAGTTTTAGAGTGCTTAAGAATTGCCTTGAAAACTTGTTCAACCTTGGGATTTTCAAATCCTACCTCAAGATATGCTTTGAGTAGACCTGCAAGAAAGCCAGATTTCTGACATTTTTAACAAACATCCTAAGTGATTCTGCTGCAGAAGTTTCATGTACAGCAATTTAATTGTCCAGAAACATGCCTGATAAGTTAGCAAAATAAGTAAAAATTATAATACCCAAAGTTGGTGGAACCATGAAGAAACAGAAACATTACTAATTGCACTATTAGTGTCTACATATAATCCATATATATAATATATATAATCCATAGATTTGCTATAAATTAGAAAATAATGCAAAGCAAAAGCTTTTAAAACAACCAGAGCCTTTTGCCTGGTATTTCTATTTGAAGAATCATATGCCAAGGAAGTAGTCTAGAATCCTTATTTTAATTTAATATTTAAAGACAGTGAGGTATTATTTATAATACAAAAATATTAAGCAAGAAAAATTATCAACAATAAGACAGTTTATCTATTTAACAAATGTTTATTTAGCACTTATTATGAGACATATAGTACTAAGCCCTTCATAAATATTGCCATTTAATCCTCATTTTAAGAAAACCTTGGGACGGCTAAGCAAATAAGATTTGTTAACAAGAATATACACTATGCAGATTTTTAAATCACACATGTGGGCCATGATGACTCAGGGAGATAAATGAAATAATATAAGGTGAAAATAGGAAAAATAGAATATAGTAATAACCTAATTATAACTTTTTACTAGAGATATAGGAATTATCAAAGATTATCAAAGAGATTAGTGACATAAAATATTATTTATTTTAGATTCTTAAATTAAATTTACTTTTTTAGGAATACACAATTCTGAATATTTTCAGGCTAAGACAAGTAGTGAAGTAATTTCTATATGTTAACAATACAAGGATCAAAGGGTGGAAATTGTAAAAACAACCAACATATTCAAAGAATTGGTGGTATTACATATAAAAAGAAAAAATCCTTTGGTTTTGATTAAGATTTGAAATTTTGAGTAATTCTAATGGATTTTTTGAAACAAAATATTTTCTAAAAGATGTAGGTAAATTTCAGAATTTTAGTGAAAGAAACACTAGTCTTCACTGTCTTCCCTTAGTTTCTTCTGTCAGTTTTGGCAAATCTTGGTCAAGTTTCTCTTGCCATCAGCAAGACCATCTAGATTCTATCTCCTAGACTCCCTTATTTCAGTAATGAATTATTTTTTTCAGTTATTCCCATATAGTCTGTCAAAGAAAAGCTACAAGGACAGCAGTAAAGAGAATTCCTATTATGACTTAGATCCAAAATTGCATTCTATGTGAATCAGTCATTCTTTGAAAATTGTTTAAGTTCCTTTGAATTGGCACATTGTCAGAGATGGTTGACATCTTTGGTCACTTGTTTCAGCCTAAAATACACACATACACACATACACGCACCCCACACACAAATTTGCAGTAACATAAAAGTCCCTAAAAAGACAAGTTATTTCCAGTTTATTGACATTTAACCACTTGGAGGAAAACTGGTGCATCCATTTCAAAATAATTAATTTTTGCTGAAAATATGCAGAGGTCTGTTTTCCCAAAGCAGCCCTGTGTAAGCCATGTGTACCACTGTAAGGGCATACTTCATTGGACACCATCATTGCTTTCCCATCTGGCAACAGGTGGCCATTAATATGAAATATTAAACTAACACTGAAATGAAATTCATGCATAATCAGCAATTTTGGAGAATGCACAAGTGTTTGAAAATCTGAAAACTGCTCATTTCTCTAAATAAGCAAGCCTTCATGCCAAACTCCTCACCAAGAACAAATGAGCCACTGACATCAGCCTATAAAAAAGTGGTTTCCAAACCATTTGCTTTTGTAGACATGAATTTACTTGAAAAAGTGATGTGTGGAATAGGATTCCTTCTGGCTATAAGCAGGGTAAGTGCTGTGATAGCCCACAATGACCACAGGGGTCCCAGTGGAGGCTCTAAGGGGCACATTTTATCAACTAATGTTACAAAGAAATCTTTGAGCACATTAGGCTTCTAAATGTGGTGGCAATGGAAATGAAGCAGAGAGCAATTCACACCCTCAACTCACCATGACCAAGAGGCTTTGACTAACTGTGGCTTCAGATCATGTGTCCACGTGTCTGGCATACTCATCCACCATAGTTGGAGTTCAAAATGGCTTGTGGCACAAGTCAAATTCAAGAGTTATCCCAAAGAACCTAGATCTATGCCTTAGCTGAATTCTTTTTTAATATTATTGTTACTGAAACATCAGGGGTTTGGCCTGGGTCCTCCTGCTCTCCACACAGAAAGCCAGTCACTGAGACAATGAGGATTGCCAGGAAAGAAGGTTTTCATCAGGTGCTGCAGCCAAGGAGATGGGAGATCAGTCTCAAATTTGTCTCCCTGCAGAGGAACATTGGGGGTTTATATATGAAAGAAGGAATGTAACTACATGTGGGTAAGCAGGAATTTGAGAGGGGTAAGGAAATCATGGGGGATGAGGGGTCTAGCTTCTTGTCTGGATATGATGATCTGGTGAGTTCCAGTTCCTTGATACTGTCTGGGAGACCTGAGGGTTGGTTTCCTGAGGAAAAAACTCAGACAAGACAAATGTAAGTTTCAATTTATATGTTTATTTTTAAAAGACTGTAAACATCAGTTCTATGGGACAATTGAGCTGGTTTCATTATGCTCTTGTTTTTGTCAACTGTCTATATAAGAAACAACTTTATAAGAAAAACTCTAATTTTTGTAAAATTTCTGGCAAAGATTCTGAAAATTATATAGTTCAATATGAGTTATACAAAAACCCTCAAGGAGACTTCCTTTTGGTGCTCTTGAGGAACTGAAATGCTTATTCACATAAGATTATGAGATTAGGTAACCTACAATGATCTCCTAGAAACCTTGACTGCTAGAAAGTTTTTATATTTTCTAGTATAAGTATTGTCCTATGTCACTCTGCTTATCTATTTGCCCTTTTCTTAGAGATTTTAAGACTCTTCAAACAATTTCGGAGATAATTAAGATATGGGTAAAACATGTAGGTAACAAATACCTTGATGTTTACTTACATATACTGCTTCTATGAAAAACAAATAGCTGTAGCAGAGAAAATTTAGATAATTTTATAGAGATTTGATGGAATGTACTTTTTAATTTTTTGGTTCCAAGTATTCAATGAGAGTGTAGTCTTAAGCATTTGTGAAAACCTTCAGTTTACCTTTCTGGTTCCCATTGTTAACTGGAAATACTCTACGTTTGCCATGACAATCATATAAGCAACTCCACTAACGTAAAGGAACTCTTCTTCTGATGACTTTACCACATCAAAGGCACTGGTGGGTTGGACTGATCCCTCAGATTACCATTTCATTGTGTGCGTCATTCACTGTGACAACCTAAGCTCATTTTGAGATTCATGCATTAGTGTCTCCAAATGTGTTCCCATTTTCATATTTTTTGATAGTGGGTAATGGAAACACTAATGGCTAATTTCCAGTTTTAATCATCACTCAAGGAGCACAAACAGAATGTATTTTCAAGAAAAATATTTGTCATCATTAATGTTGTTTTTAAAATAAGTGCCACTAAAGGCAACTCTAAAATTGAAGTTTTAAAAGTATTCCAAGCAAAGTAAAATCACTGGATTAAGTGGTCACTCTCTCAAATTGACCACTTTAAAATATGTCACGTTCATTTGGATATTGAACCCAAAGATGTTTCTTTAAGAAATCTCAATGTCTTAGAGGTACCTTCTATGAAGAACATAAATTCAGGAATCAGATGCCTAAATTTTTGATATTCCTAAATAGTTATGCGTGTGCATGTGTATGTGTGTGTGTGTGTGTTTGACCATGCATTGGCATGCCACACTTATACCACTACAGCAGACCACACATAGATTTGACTTGTATGTCCAATAAAACACAAATTAAAACTTGAGAGAAACTTGTGAGATGTCTGCAGCACTTTAGGCTGGTTGGGACTATGAAGAAGAAATGTGTCAATTTTCTAAGCCTGTAAAGCAGTATATTCGGTGAACCCTAAAATGAAAAATATTTCACCCTTATGAAATGTCTTGTGAAGAACTAGGTTTACTAAAATTATGTTCTTCCACTTCACCACGTCCCTTTGAAGCAAAGGAGCCCAGTTGTCTCTTCTCACCAGGATGCTTGCTGCTTATTTATGTTATGTTTGTATCAAGTTTTAGAACTTTGCCTAGATCACAAGCTGCTAGAGCAACTTTCCTTTTTTTAATTTCCTTATTTCCCAACTAAATACTTAATTGTAAATATATATAAATGGAGATAATCTCTCACTGGAGCGTTTGTGAAAATTAGAGTCCTCAATGATTTCAGATGTGACTGGGACCAGCTGCTGACAGGAACTCAGATAACAATGCATTTCAAACAGCTAATCTAGTGAGGCTTTCTAAAAATATTAATAATAAAATCCAAGTGATTTAATTTCTCTACATAAGTACAACGCAAGCTCACTGACTCCATGCGTCACAGAGCTCTGGTTGCTAGGAAATCCATGAATAGAACTTAATATGCATTCAGCAACAGGCTGCAGGCACAATTTATCTCCATGGATGCTCCCTCAATTGCCTTTGAAATGACATTAAGATAACTTTGACGCATTCAAGACAAGCCAGTGAACACAAAGGAAACAGGCCATTTTTGGACAACCATCTGGACTTCCGGCAGAGCCCTTTGAAGTTCACAGTCCTTGAGCTGTGCATATCTTCTGAAGACAGGGATTATGGAGCAATGGCCATATTATGAAGGGCAGATGAAAGACAAAATGTGATGCAAAAGTGTGAGCTTTGGAGGCAGATGCATCTAAGATCAAATTCCAAGTCAGCAATTTATTTGTGTGGATACATCAATCTTTCTGAACTTCAGTTTCCTCTTCTATAAAGTAAGAATAATATTACACACCTCACAGAATGACTATAAGCATTAAACATCGTGTATCAAAAGCCCTGACACAAAACCTGCACAATTAGTGATATAACAATAATAGGAGTAACTGAAGTAAAAGTAGTAGGATTCATAGAATCCTAGCAGCAGAAGAGTAGTTTTTGCTACCAGTACTATTACCACTAGAATATCTATTATTCATACTACTGGAAATAACTATATAAGAGAGGAATCCTTTAGCTGTAAAGCCTTGCACCTATTATCATAACCTAAAAATAAACTAAAAGAGATGTACTTCTGGTGCAAGTTTATAAAGAGCCCTCACAGCAGTCAGTTTCACTAAATGTCACTGAATGTAGCCTTATCATCAGTATTGCCTTGGGGAACAAAGGATGTGGATAACGGTGCCACCAACTGGTAGGACAGTTTGTTGGTGATGAAACTTTTTTTTGTTTGGCTTATACTGTGAAGCCTGAGTTCCCTAATCCACATTAGGAAGAATTTCTAGTTTTTATACCTGAGTCATCTGCATGACAGAAATAACAAAGACTTAAGATATATCCACTCCTTTCCTCTGCACTGGTAGGCATCTCTCTCTTCTTTCATTGACAGGTTCAGAAAACATGTTAGAGGACTTCACTATTAATCTATCTTAAGGGACTGTACAAGGTCTAGTCAGGGTCACCTTCCATACAATGGGTAACTTCCACACAGCCAGCCAATGGGATGACAGCTTAAACAATCCTCATGATTCTGAAGTGCTAACTTCTCCAAAGTGTTGCCAGTGCAACTTGAAACTCACACATACATTTATTCGTACATTCTTGGGAAAGTTCTAGTCCTATCTTCATTTTGGTCCTGAGCCAATGTAAGCCTTCCCAAACCCTAGATAAAGACTGACTTGATTTTAAATCATGGAAATAAACACTTAGTTTTCTCAAAGGACCACAGCAGATGATGCTGCAACGGAATTGCCTTATACGCACGATTCTAAGAATTTTCTCCAATCCTTCTGTTTCTCTACCTGGAAATTCCTTCTTATAGCTGCACTTGGCAGAGCAAAACATTAAAAATGTCTTAGGTGTGCAGTGCTCCACATAAAAGAAACATTCCTTAAGGACAGCTAGATTGTGAAGCTCACAGGGATGACTCTAGGAAAACTTGTGAGGCTTCTGAAGTTTGCTCCTTTCTTTCTTTCTGCACTGCTCTACTCATATTCAATGCCATGCCTGTACCTCAACTCCATGTATATTCTGGGACACACAGCATCCATCCACTCAAGTGTCTCCACTGGTCATGCCCTTCTTGGCAGTGCCCTGGCAAAGATTCTGGCCCCATCCTCTGTCCTGTGCCATTTTTGGACCAGGCTGCATAACTTTTAATAAGATCGTTTATACTGAGGTATTAAAGAATGATTGTTATTTCATTGATTCGAAAATAGTTATTAATTGTATGGAAGCAGAAGTTGCAGGGGAAGGAGCATTGGATCAAATTAAAGAAAGCCACAATTCTAACCCCCTCTTCTTGCAACCTTGGGGAGGGGAGGTGGGGCAAGGACCACAAACTTTCTTCCACATTGAAAGCCAAGGAATTCCACGCAGCTAAAATGTAAGGAAGGAAGGAAAGTAGAATGCATGTTAAATGTATACAACACAGTTGGGGTTTCATTCTGAGATCATAGAGGGTCCCCTGAAAGTTTGGTTGAGAAAAGTTACATCATCAGAGTTGTGATATAAGAAAGGTATCCAGGAGTAGAGTAAAAAATCAGTTGTATTTGGGAGAATGAAAATAGAAAGACAAGTTAACTCTGCCTCTTTCCTCTCCATCTGGCTCAAGGCAAACATTGAAGGATAACATCCAGTATCTATGGAAGATGGGAGAACTGAGTGCAATGTAGCCATCTGACTCCAGGCCATCAGGGCACTTGGCAGCTACTGCTGCTGCTACCTCTACTGATCCACACACATTTTTGCCTCGGAAGGTATTTCCTGAGTTATAAGTACATCAAAAATATTTGTGAGTAAGTGTAAGAAAAGATAGGCAGCATGGGGATGCCATCTCCAAAAGAGAAGCCATGGTTTTACTTTTTTTTTTTTTTTTTTTTACTATTTACTAGTTTTTACTGTCAGTGACATCATTGGATTTAACAAATGAAAAAGACAAAATGGAAAGCAATAGACCCCTAAGCAAAGTACAGAAGAGGTAACTGAGTCACAGAGCCATTAACATCCTTGTCCAAAGTCACACGCTGATAATAGTGGAGCCCTGGTCCCCTGGCATCCCTTTCAGGGCCATTTTCAGGCCTCCATCAGGAGCTTCCTGCCATCAAGTTGTGCTCTTCTGGTGAGAAAGTTTCCAAGACCTCTCTAGGGCAGAAATTCCCATCTAGAGAAAGAAAGAAGGAACTAGGGAGTATCAAGAGGCAATCCATCAGTATCTCAGTTGCAGCAAGGATTTTTCTGATAATCATAAAATTCCCACCATTCCTGGTTATCCTACGCTAACATCATTTAATAGTTAGTTCAATATTGAGAACCACTCATCTTTCTCCTATATCTGTCAAAATTGTCCTTGGATGGTCGGCTGTTGTTGGAAATGGCAGAGGTCACACAGGCCAGCTGAGTTCATGCTCAGCCCATGAAACAGGAGTGTGTTTTCCAAACTCACAATCAGGCTGGCTTCTAATCTCACCACTGAAAATGAGGATTTTTGAAAAATACCACTTACTTCTTGAGTAAGGTTGATAAGTCAGGGAGTTTCACTTGCTTGTTGTTTTTATTTTCCATCGTCTGCAAAGAGAAGAGCACGAAGCATATCAAAGAAGTATGAAGGGTATCAAAGAAGATTTGACTTACTCAAACAGCATTTACCAGTTCAAGGGTGGCAACTTCTGCTTCAGTACATTTAGAAGTATTCACATGCTATATTGATCCAGGAAATAAAAAATCATAAGTGACACCTAGACAGCTGGTTTTTAAAAAGTAGTTTGGCTTGAAAAATTTCAATTTGAACAGGAAATTGTAGAGCAGTGGAGTGAAATGGCACTGAGAGAGGACTGGGTTTGGTCCCAGCTCTGGCCTCCGCTCACTGGGTGGCCGTCTGGTGGGCATGCAGTTCTGCCAAGCTTCAATTCCTCATCTGAGAAATGAGAAAATTCAACCCGCCTTCACAACCTTCAGAGATAGTTGATGTATGCCACAGACAAGAAAACTGACTCTCAGAAAGTTCCAAGAACTCCAAGTTCACAAAACTAGCAAGAGGAAGAGCCAAAATTCAAACCCAGGTGTGCTCACTCCGAGGAGGATACCTTACCAACTGCACTCGCGATCTTCAACCTCTACTCTCCGATGACCTGGAGGGTTTGGGCATGGGATTGAGGGGCTAGAATAGGTGGTAAATGCGCAGGGATCCAGAACCCTCCACGTTGACATTAGCAAGAGCAGCTCCATAACTATCATTTGTATGTATTGAGTTTCCATACACAATTTTGTTCAAGAAATTATTCCCTCAGCTAGAAAATACTTTGAAAACTCTCTTGTACCATGCTGTCTTCCAATTCATGCCTTTAGTTTCTAGAGCAGTACAATCCCAACAGAATTTTCAGTGATGATGTATGTGCCCCATATCTGTGCTGTCCAGTACAGTGGCCAGTAGCTATTTGTGGCTACTGAACACTTAAAATGGTGATGATGTCTAAGCAAATAAGTTTTAAATTTTAATTAATTTAAATTAAAATAGCCACATGTGGCTGCTGGCTACCATACCAGACAGTGCAGTAATCTACAGCAATAGTTGAGGAAGGGAGGATCAAAGGTCAACCAAAATTAACCCACGATAATGACAAAACTTTCATTTTAAAGTTAAACACCATTTGGTGCGACTAATTAGAAGCTGAAGGGCTTTTACTTCAAACATGAAATAAGCAAACAGTGTGGCTTTTGTTACTGTTTTGGTTTTGTTGTTGTTTTTTCCCAGAGCAGATGAAAAGACTTTCCTGTTGGTATATACGCAGATGAGAAAGTTAGAGTTGAGGATACAGGTGATCTCTGTGCATCAGTTTGCCTACACTAAAACAGGACCTCTGTTTGTCTTTTTAGTTATTTTATATTCGTTTTGCCATTTATAAACAGGTCATTTTTTAATGTAGTAACATTTGTTCTTTCAATGAGGTAATTGAAAGACAGGTCTCAATGTGCTGGCTCTTGCTTTAAAAAAGAAAAAAATCCGCCTCTTGTTTTGGACTGTGTTCCTCTCCCACCTCCCCTGGTGAAAATTCAGGCACCCTAGGTTTTATTCGTTGCTGGAAAACTGACCCCACTCCAAAGGGACAAGAGCCTGAGTCCAGAGGCAGGCCAGGAAGTAGTCCCCACTTCAAATCACAGTTCACAGAAGTGAGAAAGTATTCAAGTCAAATGTCTGTCCTTCATGGATTATTATTACAGCTGTGTTCTTTCCCAGTAGCTGAATAAACACAAAAGCAAATTTTATTTTTTTTACTTGATTCCAGAGAAACCAGTGCATTTATAGTTCAATTCTCTCTCCATAGGTGCACCCCTCCCCGCCCCCTCTATATCTCAGTGAATCAGACCACCTGACAGCAAAGGCAGGAAAAATCATTTCTCACATTGTCATCCAATGAATGACTGAACAATGCATCGTTTAAACAAAATCAGAGTCTTGCAGTTTCAAAATGCCAGTACCGTTTCTCCAAGCAGTTCCACGCTGGGTCTGTATTAATTCATTCAGACACACTAGGGGTAGACATTAAAATGAAAATAGTCTGAACCAGATTAGTCTCTCTATTGGAATAAAAAGGGGTCAATGGATCAAACTTGGAAGATATAATGTAGCATCCAGACAGAAGTAAGCCTTGTTAAGGTAGGATTTTTTAAGGAAACTGCTTACTTAGTTTTACCCTCCAGAATCCTTACTGTGATCATTTTCTGGGACCTGTTAAACTTAGGGCATCTATATTCTTTCTCTCATGCACCAATATTTATAGTTAATGTAGGATTCCTCCCATATGGCAGGCATCCTGACAGATCCTCAGGGGAACAACAGTGAACAAGGCAAGTCCCTGATCACACAAGCCAAGATCTAATAAACAATTAAATATGAGATCCTTTGAGATTTTGTGAATATGAAGAAAATTAATATTAAGAAAGTTAATATTAAGAGATATGAAGGAAGCAGGGTAATGTTGAGAAGGGTGCAACTACTTTTGTATTAGGTGGCCTGGGAAGATCTTTCTGAGTCAAGGGTGCCAATATTAGGACCTATAGCAGGAGCAGAAGCAGAAACAAGCCATGTGGTTTGCTGATGAGGAGGGTCTGAAAAGCATCAGGAAGAAAAAGGAGGAATCAGAGGAAATTGCCATGGTGAAGGAAATGCAACGGAGGAAGAGAGGGTGACCCCAGTCCAAGATGAGCTTGGGAGGTGGCAGGAACTGGTTTCTCCATGACTCTAAGGGACATGGGAAGGAAAGAGATACTCTCCCAAGTGCCCTAAAAGAAGCTGTAAAGGTTTTTATAAGCAAGAGGCAGTAACAACCTCAGGACTTCCTGAAAATGACAAGAGGGCTTTTTGAGATAACAGAGTCAGAACTCTGTAAGAGATCAAGTCCTCGCCATGAGGCAGGGGATATTCGGCCAGCATGGCTAAGAAGAGACATCTGGCTGGTTCGTACTGTGCCTCTGTGAGTCCCACATTACACGTTGCTGCTGCCACCCCCTCCCCGCTGTCCCTTCCAGCCACACCATCAGCCACTAGCCATGCCAGCCTCCTACAGAGGGTCATCTGTGCACCTGCCGGTTGGACAGTGCCTAAGTTCCTAGCCTTCATTAAGTCTCTTGCTTTCCTGGAATGAGCTTCTTCCTTGACCCACATGCTCCTCATTTCCTTGCTTTCTTCATGTCTCTGTGCAAATTTCACATCATCAGAGTGGATTTCTCAATCCAAAATAGCACTGCTTCTCCTTTTCTCTCTCATTCCCCCTTACTCTGCTTTACACAGCTTGTTTTTCTTCATAACAATAATCAGTACACGAGCTATTTATGTATCTCTCTATTTACTTATTGTCTGTAATAGAATACAGGTTGAGAATCTCTAATAAAAAAAAAATTTGAAATCCAAAATGCTCCAAAATCCAAAACATTTTGAGCACTAACATGATACCACAGTGGAAAATTCCACACTTGGTCTTATGTGATAAGTTGAAATCAAAATGCAATCCAAACCTTGTTTCATGCACAAATTTATTTTGAAATATTACATAAGATTACTTCCAGGCTCTGTATATAAGGTGCATAAGAAACATAGATGAATTTCGTGTTTAGACTTGGGTCCCATTTCTAAGGCATTTCATTAGGTATATGCAAATATTTTAAAATTCTAAAGAATTTGAAATCCCAAACACTCCTGGTCCCAAGCATTTCAGATAAGGGATACTCAACCTATATAAGCTTGTGGAGGGCAGACCCTGTGCCATTGTTGTGCATCCTCCACATCTGTCTTAGTGCCTTGCACATAGTAGGTGACTGATAAATATGTGCTAAATGAAAAGGAGCAGTCATCCCTTGTTCTTCTATACCTAAGAGCCCAGAATCTGCTGCAAGTGAAGCTTCTCAACAATCAGCATCTTCTACAGTGGAAGGCGGAGGAGAAGCCCTTTCTGGAAGGAAATTCATCTCCTACTTAGACAGTAAACTTAAAATAGGCTCTTCCTGTGCACACCCCACAGATGCTCCTTATAATTCCTCAACTTTCCCCACCAAGCAGTACCTCAGGAGCCTTACTGGCCAAGTGATTTTTGCCAGTATCTTCCATATATCAACCTAAAAAGACGTTTTTCTTGAAGAGAGGAAAAAATTGATATATAGCTTAGCAAGAAGTGGAAATTTTTACTATAGTTGGGTTAAAAGCAAAAAAAAAAAAAAAAAGGAAGCATACCAGCTAACCTCTGTCTATTATACTATGATTTTTCTCAAAGGCAGACACCAAATAGTTCACAAGGGCACCCATAGCGCCAGGCCACTTAGTAGGCTCTAAACATGTCTGTTGAATAACAAACACGGCAGTTGAAGGGATATAATTTATACCCATAAAAAATTAATTAGAGAGAAAGCCCAGTGTAATAGAAGTTTAAAGCCAGAGAGTTTCCACTTTATCAAAGCAAGCCCTTCAAACACAAGTTACACTCAAAGAAATAAGAGTTTGCCAATGCATAAGGCCTGCCTCCTCCAGGAAGCCTTTCCTAACTGCTTCAGTCTAAACTAGATTTCTACTGCTTTCAGAATTGCTGCCACACCTTATATTAGCACTTTTCCAATGCTTTAAAACAAGGACGGCTTCTCTCCAAAACTGTATCACATTTGAGAGTTAGGGCTGTATCAAATACTTCTTCTGCCAGCCCAGCTCCTGAAACCATGCTGGGAAGGCAAATGGTAGAGAGAATATTTTCTAGGCATGCTCTGGTTAATTAACAAACAACCTTTTTCCATTTTCATTTCTCTACTCCATAAGCAACTTAACTATGTTTTTCTATTCTTATTTGCATATTTACTTACAATGTCATCATGTTTCACATGTATATGTTCATTTTGCTTACACAAAATGAAGCTATTTTTCTGCAATCACAAGAATACTGTTAACACCCAGAGCCTAGAATTTCCCATCTGTTAGCAAATCTCACAACAAAGAGCCTTTTTGGAAGCGTAGTTAATCCTTTAAAGAGATGTATTTCACAACTCAACTCTTATCTGATGTCAACAGAAACATATTTTTGCAAAATGTGGCTCAGATGCAAGCGTGCTAAATTACTAGTTTAAAATACAGAAAGATGGAAAGGGTTGTGGGTAAATTTTACAAGGGAGAGTAGTCTAATTATCCAAAGCCTTTGAAACAGCCTTGAACCGCTGACCGTCCCCCATGCCCAGATTTGAAAGAGAAGAGCTTCCAATTAATTAATGCAGTCAACATTTTTCAAGACCCTTCTCTGGGGAAAAGCCTCTGCTGGAAGTTCAGTGAAGGGAGTTCCAGTGGGAAAGATAGAATTGAAAAGAAATAGAAGAATACAAGGAAGATGAATTATCTCTCTTCCTAGATCATTATTTCACTCTTTCTGTTCTCTCCCCAAACCTCTAAGCCTTTTCCCTGTCTCTCACTCTCAGCTGGACTGGCTTTTTACTTCACTCTGGAAAAAAGAAAAAAAAAGCGAGAATTTCCACAACCACTACCACCATTTTTACTACCAAATCTACCAAGATATTAGCATGTGGGCCCACCTACTCTGCATTCCCCACAATTAAAATGGATCAGTGGTCAGTGCTCCTAAGGACAACCCTTTTCTTACCTATTGAAGGACACTGCTGCTGCAGTTGTCCTTTGTCTCATACATGTCATGACATTTTCCATTTCTACTGGGTCAGTCCATCACCATGCAAATGAATTTGGGATCTCCCATTCCTCCAGCCACTAACTGCCTGACTTCTCTACCTCCTTGACACTACAACACTAGAAATAATTATCTATACTTGCTGTCTCTGCTTCCTCTCTTTTCTTTCTCTCCTCTACTCACTCCTGTTGAACTTTTGACCCCACAAATCGACCATTGGTAGAGTCTCCAGTGACCAGCTCATTACCAATCCAAAGATAAATTCTTAGTCTTCATCTTCTTCAGATCATCAGCAACATTGACACAGTTGGGCACAACCTTCCTTCCTGAAACACCTTCTTCATTTATCACTGTCTTTTGGGTCTCCTCCCATCTCACTGATTGCTCTCCTGATCCCCTGTGCTGGCTCTTCTTTGTCTTTCCAGCATTCAAGTGACCCCCTAGTTTAGTCCTCGGATCTCTACTCTTCTCATTCTCCCAGGAGATCTCATTCATCTAATGACTTTAAGGAGCCTTCTAGACATATATTTGACAATTCCCAAATACATACCTTTTCCCCTGTATGTTAGACTCATTCATTCATCTACCCACATTGTGCCTCTATGTGTATATCCAATAGTGTTTCACAATCAGGTCAAAAACTGCATTCTTTAAAAAAAATTACTTACTTAAGTGAAAATTATATACATATATTCATTGTGTACAACTGCTTGTTTTGAAATATGTATACATTGTAGAATGGCTCAATCAAACTAATTAATATATGCATTACATCATATACATATCATTTTTGTGGTGAATACATTTAAAATCTTCTTTCTTGTCATTTTTTAAAAATACGATACATTAGTAGTAACTGTAGTCACCATATTGTACAATAGATCTTTTGAACGTATTCCAAAAACTGAATTCTTGTTTTTACCCCCACCCCTGTTTCCCCTTATGGCCTTTCTCAAGTAAATGGCAAATCTATCACTGTAGTTTCTCAGGCCAAAATAAAAGAAGATGAGCTCCTTGTGGACAGGGTCGTTGCCTGTGTCATTCATCCTCCACGTCTATCATAGTGCCTGGCACATAGCTGATGATGGAAATATGTGCTAGATGAAGGACTGCAGTAAAGTTATCAGTTAAAAATACAGAAAAGAGCCACTAATCCTACTTTTAAGGTGAATGAGACTAGCAATTGGGAAATACTTCATGAAAAAAAAAAGTTTAAATTTGATCTTGAAGGACTAGCAAGCATTTGACAGGAAAATAAGGGGGAAGACATTCCTGGCAGAGGAAACAGCTTGGAAAAACATAAAATGATGTGGAAATGCATGCTACATTCAGAGAACCGTGTTACTGAGTCATAGCATAAAAGATGCAGCATACTAGGAGATGTTCTAGGAGAGTAGCTTACTGGGTCTATTTGGACTTTATTATATAGGCAAAAGAAAGCTGTAAAGATTTTTAAGCAAGGGAATAACACCACATAGCACAGTGTTGAAGACAGAATATATTATTAAATAATGTTCTGTTGGAGGAGAAAAAAATCAAGAGCAGTATAGGTGAAAAACTGGAGATTGGGAAAGGAGAGTATGGAAGTATGAAATCTCCAACAGTAGTTGTAGCAAGAGATGGAAAAGCCTGCGCTAAATTGGGTTACTAAGAATGACCAGTAGAAGGCAGCTATAGGAGAGACTGCGGAAACAGAACTGCAGACGGTAAGTTAAGGGTGAAGAAGAGGCCGGGCACAGTAGCTCACGCCTGTAATCCCGGCACTTTGGGAGGCCGAGGTGGGTGGATCACGAGGTCAGGAGTTCAAGATCAGCCTGGCCAACATGGTGAAACCCCGTCTCTACTAAAAACTACAAAAATTAGCCGGGCGTGGTGGCATGCGCCTGTGGTTCCGGCTACTCGGGAAGCTGAGGCAGAAGAATCGCTGGAACCCGGGAGGTGGAGGTTGCAGTGAGCCGCGATGGTGTCACTGCACTCCAGCCTGGGCGACAGGGCAAGATTCCGTCTCAAAAAAAAAAAAAGTGAAGAATAGAGGCGCAAAAGCTGCTAACCTCCAGATTTCTTCCCTGACACCCCAAACTCTTTTACAACAGAAGTGTATCCCAAACTCTTGGCACTCTCAAATGCTGAGAGCCAGGTAAGGAAGAAAACAGCTACAGGCAAGGACAAGCCCCCGACATGTGGGTGGAAGCCTCTTTCCAAGGTTTGCGTTCATTTCCTCTGCTCAGTGATCCTAAATAAAATAGCCATTTTCCCACCATCCTGGCATAACTTAGGTGAGATTCCACTGTAGTGAACTAGAACTGGAGGTGAGAGAAAATTGCACTATTATTAAACTTTGCCTATCATCAGCCTTGCTTCCAAGAAAGAAAAGAAAATTTCTTTCTCTTTCTCCCTCCTTCTCTGTATGGCTTGATGCTGACCTAGATGCCCAATCCAATTCTTGCTTGTCCTATTAGTTTTATATTAATCTGTATTATACTTTAAATAGATTTTGAAGCAGAAGCTTACTTGGAAGACTCAACATTATTCATAAAACTATTAGTATTGAGAAGAATGTGTTGAGTTTCAAACTCTAAGTTTATCAGTAAATTTTGGTACTTACACCATTAGTACAGGGAACGGGATTTCTTATTCTGTGCTTCGTGATTCATATTTCCACTTCTTTGTCAATTATTCATTATTATGCAGCTTATAAGAAGGCATGAAGTTAACAATAACGATTATATTAATGATAGAGTGAGTTATTAAAATTTAGTTTAATAGCCACTATATTTGTGATGATAATTATAGTTATGACTAACTATGATTATAGCAGCCATTGTAATCATAATAAGCTCAGGATGGTTTAATGCTAATTGCTTCATCATAAAGAAATTAGAATATAGAACTGTAAGTGGATGTGGTTGTGATTATAAGGCAAAAGAATGTATGCAGATATTAGTTACTAGTTATTAACCTTCTCCATGAAACCAGACCAAAGAAAAAATTTTGATAAACCCAGACTTGGTTCAGATCTGCGTCAGGCCCCCTGAGAAAAAATGGGTATCATTCTTAAAACAACATGCCTTAAATTGAAACCAATTTGAAATTTAGAAAATGTGCTGATATGATACTGGGAACTTCTTTAATACCAAATGAGCTAGAGATAAAAAGTAATAGCATGGACACAGTCCTTGAAGCACACTAATGAAAGAAACTGCCAACCCATCAAGTTCATATGAAAATACCTACAAATGGAACTTCCTGGGGACTTTCCTATTGAAAAAGCCTGTGGAATGTTCTCCTGTCTTCATATTGCTTCATACAGCAGATGGTCACTCTGGGAAATATGTCAGTCATGACAACAACAAACTACGTGTGCCTGACAATTACAGAGATGGATGGATGAAATTTTGCAATTCATAAATCTTATAAAAGTCACTGTATTTGCCCAGTGATTATTTGTCCTTAACTCTACCCCACCTTACTTCTCCTCCAGAGAGATGCCACTTTGCAAGATTTCATGAGTAGCATGGTAAAGCCAATAATTTGGGGTGTTAGCTAACTGACAGAAATCCGAAGTAGGAGAAGCCAAGCTGAGCCAACGTGGTCTGTATGAGACAGAAGAAAATGTCAACTACCATATTTTTCTAATAAATACAAGATACATTCATTTTCACACATATTTGCTACAGATGGAAATTTCATTTAATGATGGCTGGTTGAGGACCCCAGCCAAGGGTGTATAAATACCAAGAAGACATCAATTTATGAGATGGGCTCCCTAATAAAGCAGCTACATAGAGAACCCAAGAACACCGCCATAGCTGATTTCTAATGAAATATTTAATGATAATGATGACATCAAGTTGCTCTCATTGAACCAACATATGTTGTTATGGAACCATAATAAAAATTTTGCATCATGAGAATTTCTGAGGGATTTAAGAATAAGAGCAATTCTTAACTGTTAGGAAAGTCCTGGGGGAGGAGAAAAAAGAAGGATAGGAAGATTTATTACTGATTTTCAATGTTGTGAAGTTAACTAAGTTTCAGTTATATCATGAGCGATAATCATTAGAAATCTTGAATTGATTTCCAATCTGTAGTGGATATGCTAGCTAAGAATTTTCCAAAGCTTTGTTGACTCTCAACACTCAGGCTTCTCAAGCCTCAGAGGCCTTCCCACCAGCAGAGGATGCTGTTTTTCCATGCATGGCATAACAACCCCCAACCACCTCCAATCCCAGTTCCACCAGGAAACAGTTCACACAGAGAAAAGATTCCTATTGGGCCATTTTGCAAGTGTGGTTTTGCACTTGAAACAAAGAGAAGAGACTCTTTCATTCAGCTCAAGTTAATTTAAATATTTTAGTGGTGATTTCTAAATCTATCATTTTTAAGGAAGTAAAAATATTGGAGTGGAGTGGGAATGAGCAAAACGCTGCTGTTTAAAATATAAGTATCAGTCACTGTTTTCTGTGATTTTCTAGCTCCCCTTTAGTGCATCTGAAAACAATGCTTTTCAATTAGGAGAAAGTGCTTATCTAAATGATCAGATTTTTCCCGCCTGTGAATAATGAAGCCAAAGTAAAGGCTGTGGTTTTTAGGACAAATGAAAACAAGAAAGTCATTCAAATTAATAATAATTTTAGAAAACTAAAGGGGGAAATTTTTATCACGATGGGAAAATGAAAAATAAAAAGGAGAAGAAGATAGGATTTGCCGGGAAATAAGCAGAGATAAAACAAAGCCCAAGAAAATGAGTATAATAAAAAGAAAAATAAGGAAAAAATAACTCATTCCTCTGAAAAGAAGAGCTTGTAAAAATACAAGCAGGATAAAATTAGACAGGGGCCCTTTCTTCCCCAGTAAGTAGCCTTTCACTCATTTTTCAAGCTTGTCTTGAGAGCCCCACGCACGCAGAGAACACTAGAGGTGCAAGGCATAAAGCTGAATGACACCCAGTTTCTGTTTATGATCATCTTGGGATCTAAAAGCAAAGATAAGCTATATAGAAACTATAATGGAAAGAAGAAAGTAATAAATGTCATGAGAAAAATAGGTATAAAGTATTATGACTGATAAGAAGAGAGAGGGCGTCACCCCTGTGTTGATGGATGAGTCAAGGAAGACTTCATAAAAGAAACAGGTTTTCAGTTCGACCATTAAAGGATGAGTAGGATTTTTCAATAAGAGGATTTGGACATTCCTTATAAAGAAAAGAGATGACATGATTAAAGCTTCAGAGTTTGGAAAGTAATTTTTTCTTTAACTGCGAGTGTTTGAAGAAAGAAGAATGAGATACAAGACCAGTGAGAGGCTCTTAGAAATCCAATCACAAAGGTCCTTGCAAGTCAGGCTAAGAAGTGTGAACTTTATTTCTTAAGAAAAGGGGTTCTTAATATGGATTTGTGCATAATTTTCAAAGGATTCATGAAACTCCTTATGTATTTTTTGTAATTGAGTATTTTTTCTGGGAAAGATCCATGACACAAAACAATTCAGGGCATATAGAACACCCTTCCCATGGGGTATCTGTCCAACTCCCAAAGACCCCTCTTTATTTAGAGGCTGACCTTGAACACAAGGATATGGCCTCTAGTGGCCAGAGTTGTACAGTCTGACCTTGCTCCTATAGTCTCAGCTGAATGAAGCTGAGCAAACAACTGGCTCACTTAGGCCCAATCAGACCCCAAATGTGTACAGATTTGAACTGAGAGCCTAGGGTTGTGGGAATTCATTTACTTCAATAATAGAATTCTAGAGAAAATATTCATGAATTCCTTATTCTGAGATACCTGTCACTAGTTTGATTTCTGCCCTTCATGATGCTGGATTGTTCAAGCCTTTCTTGACCTTTGTGAGAAACCACAGTATCCATCTAAATATTCTTTTTTTTTCTCAGAGTGATTAGGCAGAGTCAATTTCTTTTGCTTATAACCAAAAGAATGATGACTGATACAGAAACTCTATTTCAAACACTGCAAAGAGACAGTGAGAAAGTATTAGAACATTTGCACAGGGGCATGACAGCTCCTAAAAATTATTTCAGAAATGTGGGAGTTATATTTACATTGTTTTTCTCTATCCCCAATTCTCAACATCAAATCAACACTATCTTTTACCCATTTTTCCTGCAGAAGCTGTCTAGTACTCTTTCCCACCACAGCTATCCTGGTTCAGGTCCTAATCATTTCTCTCTTAGACCATTGAAATGAGCTTCTAAATGGTCCCCCAACTCCAATCCATTCCCCACACTGCTGACAAGTGTCTTTTGCAACTCATGTAAGATTATGTGAATCTTCTCAAAAATCTTAACCCACACATTTCTAGTGAAAAAGTCTAAACTCTAGTCCAGCATTCAAAGCTCTTCAGAGTCTGGCCACAGTCTACATTTTCAACATTGTCTTGCACAGACAATACTCTCAAAGTCACCAAACTCCATATCGGATTTTATGACTCCAGGTCTCTATACATCCCACTCTCCATGTTTGAAATAACTTATTTCTTCTTATCCTGGTCACTCAACATAGATATCACTACCTTGTCCTTTTCTGTTACAACCCAGCAAAATTATCCCTTCTTCCTGTATATCCTTGTAGCAGATTTTATTACAATTCGGCCACATTATAGCACTCTGGGCACCTCTGCCTCCTCTACTATCCTATGAGCTGCTCAAGGGCATGTCTTATTTATCTTTATATTTGGGACCTAAAGCAATGCCTTCCAAGTGGGTACTTGATATATATTTAATGGACATGAGAGGGAATTGATGGATGTAAGAATTAATGAAGGTGATAAAGAATACATATTCAAAGAGGTAAAGAGAGGATGTGATTATGTATTATGGCTAATCTCACAGCAGTTTGGGAAGGAAGGATTGGTCAAGAGTGTCCAAGTCTAGAGAGAAGTCAAGGGGAGGATCTTGGGTGGGGACAGGCTAACTCTGTCATGATCAGTAGAGAACAATTGCCTACCTGTCAGGTAGGCAATTGATAATGTAGAGAAGATATATTGATAACACAGAGAAGAGTGGCTGGAGATGTGAGAATGCTGATGTGTGGAGGAGATGGGGAAGAAGCAGAATCAGGGAAACAGTTTACTTCTTTGGGAAGTAGGGAAATAAAATGAAGCTAACCAGAGGAACAGCATAATCCAGTGAGGGAAGGAGAGCAATCAGAAAGGTCTTAGAGAAAAAGGCAGAAGTTGGAGGAGTCAGCATTGTCAAGGAAGAAAAGACCTCCTCCTTGAAACTGAAAACAGATATTGATACAGTGATTATTTTGGAAGAAAAATGAGATATATTAACTCCAAGAAAAAAACAAATAGAACAAACTGGTCCCTGGTGTTGTTGCTTATCACTCAGTGGTACAAACAAAGAGTATTTCTGCTGCCTCCATCAAGAACTCTCCCCCAAGCAAAGTTCTTCCAATATAGAGCCAAGATAAAAGTAGAATAACTATAATTCTATAAAATGGGGGTACAGTTAGGACATAAAGACAGCAAAGATCACTTGAATTGTATCCGTTTCACATCAAGGGCACTCTTATAATCACATTTAGTTACACATGGGTAGGCTGTGGAAACAGCTGGGTAGACCTTAATTTAATTTAACTAATTGATTTATTGGTTTCATTAATTGCTGTCAAAGGATACAAATACTGTCCCCAAGGGCCACAGTTTAGTTGGTCATCACTACAGCTTCTAGAAAAGTAATTGGATTTTTTAGTTTAGCCCTCCAGGTCAGCTATCAAAGAGCTAGCAGGATTTCACAATATAGCGCCATAGAAAATAAAGACAGAGAACTACCTATTGATGTAAGCAGTGCCTCCTTCTTTCTCATTTTCCTCAGTGACAAGGTCTTTTTCCATTAGTCTTTTTAGATTCTTTTTTATCAGAGTAAATTACTTTTATTTCTTCCTTGAGCACTCTTTATACTCTCCTTTTCTTTGGGCTTTATCTTTCATTTCTAACCTTGGCTTTTCTCTAATTATCATAGATGCCATCAAACTCTTTTATGTATAAATGGGGTACAAATCAATAATTGATAAAATTGTTAACTCAGAATGGTAAACTGATTTTGGTTTTCCCTGTTAAATTTTAGTTTGGGGACCTCTTACTCAAGCTCAGAACCCTAAGTTGTAGATGTTTTCCTTTCTTTTTTAAGTAAAATTTAATACCTACTCAAAATTTTTAATGAAAATTTTAAGTATTGAGAAGAAAATAAAAATAACTTTGAATCCCAAATTTACCTTTTGATATTTTTTCTATGCATATAGACAATGTTGAGTCTCAGTGAGAAAGAGCTGTATGTAAAACCTTCAAAGAATGTTTTACTACGTAACACGCCAAGGCATAAACAGCACTGTCAATCATGAAACAAAATCAGGGAGAAAAATCTTTCCTTCTCTCCTCCCTGTCTCCCTCCCTTCCTTCTTTCTCTTCCCAGATTTGGCATCTCAAGGATTCTAAAGAACCTGGGTCAATATCCAGTAAAAATCAGCAGTGTCAGGCACAGTAGCTAATATACCTGGGAAAGCATTAGCATCACTGGATGGGGAGCTAAAATGCAGGGAAAAGCAGAGAGAAAGAGACCCTGCAGTGTGCAGGAATACAGCTGCAGGTCAAGAGAAGTTGCTTATTCCTTCACACATGGGAGACATCCCCTGGAGACAGTTTTTAAAATGTCTGGTAGAAGATGGGCATTTTGGAAGTTCTCAAGTCCAACATCATTCATGAAAATAAAATCAGCCAATAAAATTTGGGCCATGAACTCATTTACCTGCAAAGGATGTAGATCCCTGGGAAATTCAAGTGTAAGCCATCCTTAGATTTCAAGAGCATAATGAACTTATGCCCTGTCTCACGATGTATATTCTCTCATTCTCCATACCCCTTCTATAATTAGTATATATCCCCACTACAAAATGCAGATCTCCTTTTAAATATGTAAATTTTGATTCCCAGATTCATTTAGGATCCATTTGTTCTGAGAGCATGTATAAAAATTATCTTACACTGGAAGGATGGATGCAACAATCTTCACTGTGATGAATGCAGGAGTGAAGAGGCTAAAGACAGAAGGGCGATCTCAAGATACCGATGGGAACTCACAGCCTAGAAGAAAGGTTTTACAAGAAAAACTCTGATGTCCAAAGAACTGTGAGAACCAGCAATGAGCATGATCAATTTAAATCTGCAGTTCTCAATTCTCCTATTTAATATGTGTTTCAGCATGCCTCTTATGGCATTTTACACTTGAGTAATTTCATTAGATGGATACTCTGGTGCCTTTGCCATTAAAATATGTTTTGTTGTAAGATTAGGGAGCTATTGAAATACTAAAGTTAAGTCTCAATAAAACAATAATAATAATACTTTAACTGCCTATAAGATCTTTTTTTTACTATATTGACATTCATGCTCAATTACAACACAATTTTTGCCTTCTACATTTTAAAGACCTTTAACATGCTTTTAACTTTTATGACTATGAATTGGTTTTGATGGTACATGTAAACTGTAAATATAGTAACTGCAGATGGCATTAATCTTACTTATGAACCAAATGATCTGAATGTGTAAAAATATAGCCCAAGAGAGTCAGAGTTAAAAGCCTTTGAAAACTGCCTCAATGTCTTCCAGCTAGTGAACTTTCATATCAGTGTCACTGTTCATATTATCTTGTCAGTTGGGGGTCTTTTTTTATACAAGACTTGTTAGGCAACGCCTGCTGGAAATATCAGTGTGGTAGGATCTCAAGCGGCTGTGTGGTTACCTAGACTCTGGGGCAATCAATCCTTTGAATAATAATTCTGAAAATTGACTCATGGACTCTTAGAACTGGAAGCGCTCTTAGAAATCATCAAACAGAGCCTGACTCCCTCAATCAGGACCTGCTTTTAGCTGCACAGCGAATTTGGTTCTACTATCACTATTTCCCTTAGTTTTGCTTTCTCAGTTCCTCTTTCTGCTCCAAATTATAGCAGCAGTCCAAATATCGATCCCTATGATGCTTCCACATTTTATGTTCATTAAACTGCACAGTGACATTTCTATGGTGTAGCTCTTTTTACTTAATGTGAACGGTAGAAGCTACTAGAAGAGACACTGGACTAATTCTGAGGTGGTTTGCAGGAGGAGCTAAGGCTGCACAGCTGCCCACTGTGCCACAGCTCTCTCTAAAAACTGGACCCAATCAAGCTGTTAGTTAGAGATGCCAAATCATCAATCGTCTCCAACCTGAGAATTCTAACTCTCAGTCATTCCTCAAAACCCAGTTTAAATATCTCATCCCCCTTACTAAATAATATCAATAATTAATATCATTTCCCTGTCCCAAGCTCTTTGCATACATCTCTATTGTAGTTAGAAGTTATCTCCCAGTGAGATTATGTAGTTTATTGAGAGAAGTGAGTCTCTCTTATCATTTTTGTATCTTCAGTGCCTGGAATAGAATAGCTGTTTAATAAATGTCTGAACGTAGAAGAAAATGTCAAAGAAAAACATAAAGAACATAGCATACTGTTTTTATTGAATATCAGGGAACATCAGAAATGGAATGTAGAAATATGTAAAATCTCTTCTTCTCTGTTTATGACCAGAAAAAGCCTATGAATATAGTCAGACAATCCTACCCAGTGGAGTAAATTCATTTCTGAAAACGAGGCAAGTTTACATTGCCTCTGTACCTCTGATAACTCTGGCCAATGTTATTTAAATTGTTTATTATCTGTTCAGATAATTCTCAATGCCACACATTCTCCCATAAAGGTAGCCAATTGCATGCCTGCAATACATATATGAATTGTTTCAAAGTGCCAACATTTTCTTTTGTCACTACTCTATGCAGCACACAAAACTGTCATTGCAAATCATTTTATTAATGTCATTTAAAAAACAAATTAACTTTTGGAGCTGTTGTTTGTGGCATTGTGCTGCTGTTTCCCTCCCTTCAACATTCTGTACTGTAGTCTTCACAAAAGAACACTAGAGGGATCAGCTTCATATTTTTCAGAGGCCTTTGTGTCAACCAAGCCAAGTACAATTATGGCTCTTCCCAGAAGAAGGAAAGAATAATGTTGGCAATCGGGCGTTACCACCCAGAACCACAGAAAAAGCTGCAAATGTAACCAAAATGGCTTTCTCGGCCTTTATAAATCCAGAAACCTACGTGGCATTTTCTATGGCTAGAGGCAGCACTTTGGGAAATTACCTTTAGAAAACTGGTTAGAGGTCTACCAGAGCTTTGAAAAGAGCCTGCAACCTGGGGAGGGATTGAAGAAAGAAATAAGCAGACTTGTTGTTTAATAAAGCTGCCATTTTTTTTTTTTTTTTTTTTTTTTACTTCCAAGGGACAAAATCAAGTAAATGTCAAATTTTTTCCCAGCTGGTAAGCACATTCAGATTTCAGACTAAAATGTCCCAAAAAGACTAGGGCTGACGATGAGAAAGAAACACATGAATTCCTTCTTTTCAAAATAAGATAGAGAAAGAATTCAGTCACCTTTAGTCTAGACATTTTTCTCTTCACTTTGCCTAAACCATAGCCATATATAAAGGCATACATTGATAAAATGGTATAATTTTGGTGTTTTGGTGTTTCTGGACAAATAAGAGGGAACTAATCAAGCTAGCAATCCAAGTCTGTCAGAACTAACAAGGTAACTGAATCAGATAAAATTAATAATAATAACAGTAAAAACCTCTTGTTATAATGTCAGACAACACTGTAGCTTTAATTTGTCGATTTCAGAAAGACCTCTTTGGCTCCTGAACTTATTTGGTTAGTGAATTACCTCACAAGCTGATCCTCTCATCTCTCTCATCCCTGTGGTCTTTCCTAATTAAAATGAAAACCACATTGCTCTAATTATTTGATCATACCATTTCTCTTCTCAAAACCTTGCAGTAGCTTTTAATTGCAGCAAAACCTGGAATTCAATGTAAAATCAATACTGGGGCTGTAAGTCCATGCCTCCAATGTTCTCCTGCCTCTGACCCAATCGCTGGCCTTTACTCTGCATGGCCAGGGCTTTCACTTCAGGCAGTCAATCTGCTTGACTCCAATAACATCCTGACATGATTCCCCCTTTTCTTGATTGTACCTTTCTCTTCTCCAATAAATAAACACTCAGCCAGAGCACAGCTGCAATGGTCTATTTTTGTTGGCCATGCTGGATTGTCGTTTATAGGATTTGATGTGCAATATGTCTTGTCCTGTTTCTTCTGAAATCATAAACTTCATGCTTGTTGATGCCTTGATTAGACCATAGCTCTAGTATAGCACTGGGGGCTCCATAAAAGTGGTCAACACTGGAGGAGATCGGCAAGGAAGCTCAAATCTTCGTCTTTATAAGCTAAGAGTGATCATATACATGCAAAAACTTCAGGAAAAGAGGTGCGGTTCCCTTCAGCCATCCCCTTTCATCTCTCACCCCTGACTTGTTCCCTCCCTGTTCTGTAAAAAATAGAAAAAGAACCCTGGCTTTCCTCTATGGTGGAAATTTCCAGCAATGGCCTTCCATAAAAGGGATAGGTCTTGTTTCAGCACCAAGGAATCTGCCTCTAACCGTTTGGGCTGGGTGGTGGAGACTTTTTTTTTTTTTTTTTTTTTTTTTTTGCTTTTAGACAACGTGGAAGTGTCTGGAATGGTGTCTCCAGTCCCAGCCATCATAGGAATTACTCAGTGTTTCAGGGCCCTGAGCCAGTAACCACCTCCCAGCCAGCTCTGCCACGTTAGCTTCGAAAGGGAGGTGAGTGAGCTCTGAGTTCAGAGAGGCCAGAGTGATGGAGTCTCCTGGCTGAGAAACCCTCCACAGGATCGATAGCAATTCTCACAGGGAAAAAAAGCACCCCATTCTAGTTCCTACTCCCTACCCTTACAGAATTGTAGAAAGTGAGAGTGAGTTGTTCAGATCTCACTCCCATCCGGCTCCTTAAAGTATTAGGGACCAGGAAACTAAGCAGTGGTGCAGCCCACCCATCCAAGAAACCTGACCCAGGGCTGCCTGATGGGGCTCCTTTTCTAATTTGACAGTCAAATGGGGAGACTTTTGGAGGGATGCTTTTACAAATTTCCTTCAGAGATGGATACTTTATTCTAATAATTCCACCTAAAGGGACTGCCTTTGCTAATTCTCTCCAAGGAGCTATATAGAAGGGGCACAGCTGAATTGACCTTTCTCAGTAAAATGAATCTTCACACACCTATATGATAAACTCTTTTCTTTTTAATTTTTGGAGGTGGCATGCTTGTCCCCAGCTCCAGTGTTTCTGCATCTCCTCTGCAGCTACCAGAGTGGTAGATATTCCCTAACGTCACAGATTCCCTGACCTGGAGCTGAAGAACTTGAGCCAAATGCTCATCCATGAGTTTGACTTTCTAAAGAAATTAAGCATGAAGAACAAGGTAGGAGGCTTCTTCTGGCTGTCTAGGTTCTGCCAAAAAACGGGTATCTCTGGTTCCCGGAAATCTGACAATCTAACTAGACACCTTGCTCCAACCAGATTTATTGATTCATGTTAAGAGCTACTCCCTAACCAGGAGGTTGTGATGTCCTTCTTATTCTCTTACTCCTCTCTCTCTCTCTCTCTCTCTCTACTGTGAAGGTTTGAATCTTGTGTCTAACATTTATGAATTAGACATGTTATTTAATGCCACTGAACATTAGTGAATTCATCTATAAAATGGAGTAGAATGTATATAAAGCCTCTCCCCTTCCCCTGCCCATAGCCCATCCCACTTTCTAATACTTTAGTGTGGGTGTTCCACTTAGTTGTCTATTCAAATGTCAAATCACTGTTCTGGTCATGGTGTAATATTCCTACCAGCAGGGACCTGATCTGTCTTGTTCTTTCTCTTTAATACCTAAAAAAGTGCTTGGGACAATAAATGTTGGTGGAATTAATGAATGTCAGGAAAATCCACTTCATCTCCAGTCTTCCTTCTGCCATTAGCAAGCTGTAAGTAACCTTCACAAACTCATCTGAGCTGCTTTGGCTACAGTTTCTCCACCTGTAAAACAAGATGTTTGCAGTACAAAGTCTTTGGTTCTCTAAGACATGCTTTCTCTGTTAGGAGATTATTATGACCTTCAGTTCTTTTCTCTGCTCAGCTTTCATCATTCAGGCACATTTCACATCCAAAAGGCATCCATGGTGATTCAGAATGCAAGCTCCCAAACGAGACAGCTGTGATCTGTATCCCAGCCCTCCACCATCTAGCTCCGGGTTTGGGGCAAACTTCTTAAACTTGCTGGGCCCGTTTCACTGTCCATTACCTCAAGGAGCTGTTGGGATGTATAAGTGACTAAATTCAGGTAAAGAAACAGAAAAGTGTGTGACAAACAGTAGGCAGTCAATAAAAGTTCACTATATGACAGTCTTTCCTTCCTATATTTTGAGTTTAGATAAATTACAGTGGCTGCGATTTGGGACTTTGAATGGCATTGCAGTTTTTATTTCCAACTTTTCTCTCTTTGATCAATGGTAGTCTAAATTCTACATATAGCAATCTAAGTGGGTATCAAGTATAAGGATAATAGAAAATATCTTGGATACAGTGTCCATGCTATATATCAAGAATATTATTACTCATAGCAGCTTTTTAAAAATTGTAGTGTAGTATGTGTCCTTATGTTAATCTTAAACCACAACTTAAAGAACTTCAACCAGTCTCAGCCCTTCCTGCCCTCCATGCATTTATCTTCATGATGAAGCTTTTAATTTCTCCACATTTAAGATCAGTTTTATTATTTTTCTTTATTAAAGATATTAGGAATGAAGAAACATTGGCAAAATTATGTTGCTTGTTCTTAATTTTTTTACTGTTACTATTATTAATCTTGTTCCGGCCATGGTACTGGAGTACAATATTTCCTTTTGTGGAACATGGTCATTTTGCTATTCCAAACAAAGTTTGTGAAGATTGAAGTTGGAAGCGTTGTGAACTATGAATAACCCACAGAGTCCTAAACGGTTGTTACATTATTATTTTTCTCACAATTATCCTACGAAAAAAACACACAGATTTATTTGGAAAGGCTCGGAACAATGAAATAAATACAGTACTGATTTCAAATGCAAATGTCACGTCATTTCTAAATGAGTCAACCTTCAAAAGACAATGAAAAATCAACCAGAAAATTTCTGCATGTCAAAGAGTTTTAAAGGTGATAGCTAGTAAATTGAAGTACACATCAAAGTTTCTCCAATAAAAATGTTAAATATAAGTTACTTCTTCATACATATCTAAAACCTGTCAAGTACAGGGGAAAATAATCTGTCCCACCCCCACCCATAAACTGAACAGATCACAGAAATAACTGGCATCTTTCCGCTTCCGAGGAGTGGCCGCAGGTTAGTGACAGTATAATAGTTCCTGTGTGGGAGTGTCCCTGAGTTCTAGCTCCTCCAACGCGAATCATGGCAGTGGCAGTATGTCCAAATCCTGGTAGCAATGCCCAGGATGCATGCAGTCAGAATGGCAAGTGCAAAAGGCATTTCTGGGTCTGTCAAGGCCCTAGGCTGCTGGGTAACTTAGGGGTCATCTCAGCAAGAAAGGACAAGAAAGGATTTATAAGTATACGTACACACTCCCTGGAAATGCATCTAGAGTAGGATTCTCTAACACATTGGACTTCCTGCAGCCAGGCAAGCAGAGTCTTGGACTTCAAGATGTGGGTGTTCAAGTTAATGACAACACCTGTTCTCACCAGCTGGTGAAACCCGAAGAGCCCCCCTGCCCCATCAAGGTTACAAGTGTCTTACATATTTTGAAGAGAGATTGATGCTACCTGTTGTTAATTTATGAGGTGAGTGGGTTGAAAATTAAGGAGGCGGAAAAAATTGTGACATGCAAATGATTTTCCTCCCCCTATGGATCAGAACTTTAATCACACAATAAATATTCTTGTTCTCCATGTGGATGATGCAGGTGACCTCAATTTCACAAAGGCTTGTAAAATCCAGTATGTGTTTCTCTGTTCTGTACAGGGAAATTTGAGTAAACGATTGACTTTTCACTGAAATTTAGGTTTCCTAATGACCCCCACATAAATAATGCAGCTAGAAATTACTGAGGACTAGCCCAGTCGCTTGGTGGCTAGCACTTTCCCCTCCCTTCAGCGGTATCCCTGCATTGTGCCTTTAAGGCAGCAGGGGCTCACTAGCTCCTCGGGCTGAACTCTGCCCTCCCTGGGCAGTGACTCACACTCTGCAGGCTCAGACAAATGGAATCTCCCCCTGTGAGAGCCCTGCAGCCTTCCACTGTGAAAAGTCATCACAGGGCCTGAAGGGAATATTTCCCCCACTTCCAACCTCCAAGCTCTGAGGCCACAAGTGTTTTTCACTGAGAGGGCCAGAATGTTCTAAAGCCTGTGGAAATTAAAAGCGTAATTCATGACACAGCAAAACTTTTTCCTCCCCCCATCATCTAAGACCACCTAGGGAAAAGAGAGAAATGGACTAATGCCAGATTGAGGCCTGGAGGAGAAGCCCCAGTCAACTCTCTTTTCAGTCCTTCCACAGCACAGACCAAACACACACACACATACACACGTGCATGCACACACATCCATACTATACATCATCGTATTGTTGTCTCAGGTTTGGGGAAAACGAAATGTTTCAAGACGGATGAGAAGGGAAATTGTGTGAGGAACTGCAGCTCTCCTCCAAAAATGTGTGTGTGTGTGTGTGTGTGTGTGTGTGTGTGTGTGAGAGAGAGAGAGAGAGAGAGAGAGAGAGAGAGAGGGAGGAGGAGGAGAAGGAGAAGGAGGAGGAGGAAGCAGAGGAAGAGAGGGAGGAATGGGGAAGAGGGACAGAGATAGGGGGCGTGGAGGGAGAGCCAGACAATGAAGTAAAAGAACAATCAAAACAAAGTTCCTTCTCCCTCCCCCAGTTCCAGATTTTTGGGCAGCTTCCAAACTTGCTAACTTTCCCAAGGACAAGTTTTAAAGAAATGTTCAAAAAGCCAACAAAACTAAATGTAGATACCTTTGAAACTTCTTAGATAACAGTTACAGACAGCAGTAGCAACCCAACTCTAAAACTGGGCCATTGAAAAGGAGGAGGAGGAGTCTGTGTCCCTGACTGCCACACTTGAAAAGAACTCTAGCTCTGAGGAGTTGATCCGTCTTCCCAATCCCTCATCCACCCAAGCCCAAAAACTCAGACTTTTCAATGGAATCCACCATCCTATGCTTACACTGGTGTGGGAAAACCATCACATACTTTTATTTCTAAATGTTTCTGTTCTGTTTGTTTAAATATGCATAATGTATCAGAAAGAAATGGAAAAAAAGGAGTAGCCTGTTTAAATACAAAGAAACGGTGTTAATGAAAACTAAGTGAAGCATAACCTTAATTTGTACCCCAAATCTAGTATGACATGAATTGATAGATTAGTTACATAAGTAAAAAGTTTTCCTGAAAGCAGAAATTAAAGTTTAGTTGTTTTGCTTCATAACAGTTTAGTGCAATACAAACTTGTAAACTGACATTGATATTTACTTGGTTCATGTTCTGTTACCTATTTTAAGGTTGAAACACTAAGACAACAAAGATCTGCTAATAATTTATTCTTAATTAAAAGACGCAATCTAAGAAGTAACTTTTAACAACTTTCTAGTTTTTTTATAACAGTGTAAACTTCTTCAGTTAATCTTGTGAACCTTGCAACAAATTTACCCACAGATGAAAGTATTAGATAATATGAAAAGATTCAGAAGCCATTGCAATGTACTATTGATTTCCTTTCCCTCCTGAGGATATTTCCAAGGGTTTGCTTTCTCCAACCAACTCTTTAACCTGGAAGTCAGCATTTAGTGATCTGGTTACAACCTTTCTTGTTTGTGTTTGTTTTTTTCTCATACTTAAACGTTCTTATGAACTTGGAGCCAGCTAAATCCATCTATTTACTTCCCATAACTTCTCTCATGCTATGTTCCTCTTTCTGAAATGACTCCCTACTCCCCCACCCTACTCATTCTCTAAAAGCTAGCAAATAATGACATCTGCATAAGTTCCTTCATCTGAATTTTCTTATATAGATGGCCTTGCCAATGTCTGACCTCCATTGTGACTGCTTGTATTTCTTATGTCCCTTAGTGGGGACAGTTTCCTGTCCTTTTTATTACCATATCCCCCAACTATATCTAGTATGGCCCCATGTTTTAAAATGCACCATCCCCCACCTCCAAAATAAGCAAGACGGAAAGCACCGGAGCAAACATTTTAAATGTTTATTCCCAATCATCTGCTAACATCATTTAGCAGATGAAGTTTCCCTTAGCATATACAAATATACAGTGTAAACAAAGCAAAATGTCAGGCCTGAATTACACAGAGCCGTCAAGTAAAAGGAGCAACTTGAATAATTATATCAAGCCAGATTCCCAGAAATCCTCTTCACCCTGGGTCTCTAGATCACCACCACTTGCAAGTCACCTTGCAACTCTGGTGACGTGCCTTGGAAAATTGAATTGACCAAGTATGCCCATTTGTCTGATTTGGTTTGCTTAGTCAATATAAAACAGGTTTACTACAAAGACCAAAAATGTTTCTGTCCATTCCTCTAAAAATCCTAGACCTTAATCTATTTTCATCGGATCAGCTACTGGGGATCTTTATTTTCCAGAGTCTTCCATTTGGCTTAGGAAACACTCCACTAAGTTGCCTAAAGGTGGAAATTAATTTACTCACAGGAACTGAACCGTTTTTCCCTTAATTAAACATTGCATTCTCAACTCCTTTATATGCTTTTCAGAAGAAAGAAGACAAAACAAAACAAAAACCCTGCATTTGATGAAAGGGTTGAGGACTTTTATGAAACATTTCAACTGATTTGTCAGAAAGCAATATGCAGTACAGCTGCTCTCTACCCCTGAAGCTGGCCTCTCAGATTTCTTCTAGCGTCTTTCTTCCAGCCTCTCTCCCCGCCTTTACGCATACTTTCCGTCTTGGTTATTGCTCTTTCTTGCTTCCTCTCTGCCTGCACCCTTTCCCTCCCAGCTCCTCATTCATGTGTCCAAGAGGAGGAGGCAGGCATGCAATGGGGAGCACAGTCACTCTGTCACACACGCGTATCTTTAATGGACATGGGAAGAATTCACTAATACTCAAAAGCAACCAAAGTGATAAAAGAGAGAGGGAGAAAGAGAGACAGAGAGATAAACATATTTTCCAAACAACTTAAAATGGCAATGCAAATTATCCTGCCCTTTATGAGATTAAAAAAAAAAAGTACACTGCTTGGGGAAAATAACACACTCCTCAGAAGCTCCTACCAGATATAAATCAATGTATTCGGAAGTGTAGATTTTTCTGCATAATATTCAGAATTTGGAGTTCAATGCCGCATTCCTAACCAAAACAGCCATCAAGTCCAAGAGAAATGTACTAAAAATCAGAACATTTCGTGAATTAAGAGATTCTTCCTCATCAGTATTAACATGTTTGTGTTCTTTCTCAGGAGAAAACTAAGAAAACAAAGACAATCCTCAAACTTTCAAAAGTGAAAAAATAAAATGCTTAATCTAGAAATATAAGTGAGTCCCTTTGGATCAAAGTAGAAAGGCCTGGGGTCAGAATGAAGTGATGATGGCCTCCCCTGAGAGTTTGTAGGTCTCACTAGTTCCCACAAGTATCAAGGGAATCACAGAGCTGGTATCCAAAGCCGAAGAACAGAGCCAGGAAACTAGTCTGGTGTCTTCTTCACAAAATGCAATCCATCTATTTATCCATCTATCTTCCATGCTTTTATGTACTCATTCAACTCAATATGTACCTTTTAGGCACTTTCTCAAGACATGGCAAAGAACAAAATGAAAACAAAGGCCCTGTCCTCTTCAACCTTACCTTCTAGTAGGGGAAGAAAAACAAGGGAAAAATAAACAAGTAGATAGATGGTCTGGCAGATGTTGATCAATATTAAGAGGTTGCAAGCAGTTGCTCCTCTGTGTAGATTAGTCAAAGAGACCTCTCAGAGATGACATTTGAGCAGAGACCTAAAAGGAGTAAGTGAGTCAGTCATGTGGGTAACTGGGAGGACTATCTCAGGAGAAGGAAACAGCAAGTGCAAAGGCCCTGAGGTGTGTCTAGTATGTTTCAGAAACAGCAAGGCACCAATGAGATTAGAGCAGAATGAGTGAGGGGAGGAGTAGCATAAGGTCAGAAAAGTCAAAGGGAAGACTCCACATCTTGCAGAGGCCTACGAGTGATTGAATTGACTTTGGGCTTCAATCTACGTGACATAGGAAAGTTTTGGGTGGCTTTGAGCAAAGAACTGACATGACCAAAAAACATTTTCAAAGGATCATCTGGCTGCTGCGTATAAGATAGACTAAAACAGTGGTGGCAAAAGTGGTAAGCAGGTCAGGAGCAGTGACTCACGGCTGTAATCCTAACACTCTGGGAGGCTGAGGCAGGAGGATCACTTGAGCTCAGGAGTTCAAGGCCCGCCTGGGCAACGTGGTGAAACCCTGTCTCTACAAAAAATACAAAAATTAGCTGGGCATGGTGGCACATGCCTGTAGTCCCAGCTATGGGGGAGGCTAAAGTGGGAGGATGGTTTGAGCCTGGGAGGTCAAGGCCACAGCCAGCCATGATCATGTCACTGCACTCCAGCCTGGACAACAAAGCGAGACCCTGTCTCAAAAAACAAACAAACAAACAAACAAAAAAACTGGTAAGAAGTAGTGAGATTCTCGATGATGTACCTTCAAGACAGAGCTGCCAGGATTCAATCAATAGAATGATGCAGAGAATGGAAAGGGCGGGGGCAGCAGTGAGAGAAAAAAAGAAAGAAAAATGATTCCAAAGTTTGTGGTCTGAACAACAGGAAAGATAGAGTTACTATTCGTTATCACGGAGTCAGAAGACAATACAATGGAATCAAGAAAGGGGCTTCTTTCCTTCTTTCTATCTCTTTTTTAAACGTGAAAACTAAACCATGACTGAATGCTGGTGGGAATGATACAATTGAGAAAGAAAAAATACATGATGCTAAAGAATGAGGAAACAACTGCTAGCATGATGTCCTTGAGTAGGGGAGAGGGCACAGGACTGGTCTTCCTTGACAAGCATGGTGAGCTCATCTATGGTAACAGGAGGGAAGGTAGACCTATGGATGCATTATTAGTAGAGGTGTTGGTGGTAGCTTGGGGGAATTTTCTTTCATTTCTTTATATTTTCTCAGATCTTCAACTGAGAGTTAGATAGGAGATGCTTCCCATTATTCTTCACACATTGCCCCTGGCCCAGTGAATACCTCTACATAATAGTCCAAACCCTTCCCTGTGCCCTCTGGAATAGCTTATCCATAATCAGCAAGCCCTCCCCCTGCCAGTTACTCAGCATTTTCTTTCAGCCCACACCTAGCTTTCTCCCCTTGGATCTACATTGCTGGGACTGGAAAATTGCAAACGTCTTTTCTCAGAACCCCTATCAACTGCTTCCTTCTGCCAATAGAAGACAATGGTAGGAGATCAGAAGGTGAGAGAGAGGGGACAGTTTCCTGCTTCTGGTTGTAGGCAATTGTACTGAAAGCAAGAGTCAGAATTCTGGACTCCAGCAGCCCATCCAGGGCAGCACATTGTTAGTGGTTCTAGCCCTGGCAGAGATGGGTCCAGGACTGGCTATGACAGTTTCCTCAGCAGCATAGTATAATAGCAAGGGCTGGTTTATGGTCATGAGCACCTTCCAATCACTGAGAATCCACCCTTCCCTTTATAATTCTTCAGCCGTTTCAGTTCTCACCTTTTCATCTTCCAGTCCTGCCAAAATCTTTGTAACCAATGTCTTGAATTAAATTCCCATGGTATGAAAGACTTGGAATCATTCCCGTCTTCTTGACCACCAGTCCCTGATTGATACACTCAGTACACTCAACCCCCTTTTCAAGGGTTTCCTCCTCCTTCCTGCATTAATTAAAATGTATCACCTGGTCAATGCAACACACTCCTGGGTCATTGTCTATCTCAGGTTTCAACTATTCTAGGGCCAGGAGCTAATGTTAATGCTCTCCTGTGTTTTTTGTTTTGTTTTGTTTTGTTTTGTTTTGAGACGCAGTCTTGCTCTGTCACCCAGGCTGGAGTGCAGTGGCGCGATCTCAGCTCACGGCAAGCTCTGCTTCCCGGGTTCACAACATTCTCCTGCCTCAGCCTCCCGAGTAGCTGGGACTACAGGCGCTCGCCACCACGCCCGGCTAATTTTTTGTATTTTTAGTAGAGAGGGGATTTCACCATGTTGGCCAGGATGGTCTCCATCTCTTGACCTCGTGATCCACTCGCCTCGGCCTCCCAAAGTGCTGGGATTACAGGCATGAGCCACTGCGCCCGGCCCGATACTCCCTGTTACTTCAATATTCTTCCAACCTGTCTTCTCAAATACTGCTCATCAGAACCATTCCATTTGGCTTTACTACTCTTTAACCATCCCACTTGCACCCAAGCCACCACTTTGTTATTCCCTCTCTTTAGCCAAAGGCTTTGGCATCCAGCTCCCAACTTGGTTACTACTAAAGTCCTGTCAAAAGGCTGAATGAAACCAATACCTTCACAGATAACCCTCTGACTCACCCGACATCCGGAGCCTTCAGTTTTTTTACCTCCTCCAGGTTCTTCTTCATTCCAATGTAGTCCCTCATTCATGTCATCTCCTCTATTTCACCTGTTCCCACGAACAAAATCATTAATTCTTGCATCACCTTCTTATAATATCTTCTATTTTTAGTGTAGTTGATTGGGTACCCCTTGGCCTTTATTCAACCTTATCTGCACTTCCAATGCATTGATCCCTCTATTTTCTCTTAATCAACGGTTTCTTTCTTTCCCTCATTTCCCTCCTGAGATAACCTAATTGCATGACTCATTGTTTCAGTAGCCCTCTTGTCAATTATCTTAACTCTCTTGCTATACTATCTTTAGTTACATGAGTCCAGCAAATCCCCAATCCTGGGTTATCCAGCTCTTTCTCCATGCCTGCACCTGAGTAGCTAAACATAGTTGTGTGTGGGTGGGGGCATGGAGGATCACATAAAATGGCAGTTTGGTAAATTCCTTTGTAAATTCAAAAGCCCAATATCAAGCAGGCTCTGAGCCTAACCAGTTCTTAATACTTATCTCTGGTCTATACTTTCTCACTTTCTCCAATAACTTTTTCAGAAAAAAAAAAAAAAATTAAAATTGTCCTTAAATCTTTAACTCATCCTGCAGCCCCTTTTCTCTCAGCATATGGTGATCTCACACATTAATTCACAGAGAAAATACATGCTATAATATGGGTTCTCCTCAACTTCTCAATAGCAAATGCACAAACTCATCTATATCTGCCCATCTTTCTTTTTTCCTTCCTTCCTGTTACAATAAAGGAGCTATCCCACACTTATTTTAGGCAAATCTCTCCACTTTTACTTTAATTCTATTTCTTCAGAAGTTATCAGAAACTTGTCACTTTTTATTAACACTGCTCTCTGCTTTTCACCCAGAATCTTCCCAGCAGCTTTTTTTTAATGTCATAAAATTTATAGAAAATAAATTTAACCAGTTTGAAATGTATAATTCAGTGGCATTTATTACATTTATGATGCTGGGCAACCATCACCTCCACCTAGTTCCATGAAAAACATTTTTATCACCCAAAAGGAAACCCCAGATTCATTAAGCAATCATTCCCCTCTAACTTCCCCACAGCTTCTAGCAGCCACTAATCTGCTTTCTGTCCCCGTGAATTTACCTATTCTGGATATGTCATATAACTGGAATCCTGCAATATGTGACCTTTTATGTCTGGCTTCTTTCACTTAGCATATTCTCAAGGTCCACTCATGTTGTAGCATGTATCGATACTTCACTCTTTTTTTTTTTTTTTTTGAGACAGAGTCTCACTCTGTTGCCCAGGCTGGAGTGCAGTGGTGCGATCTCAGCTCACTACAACCTCCGCCTCCCGGGTTCAAGTGATTCTCCTGCCTCAGCCTCCTGAGTAGCTGGGACTACAGGCACACACCACCACGCCTGGCTAATTTTTGTGTTTTTAGTAGAGACAGGGTTTCACCATGTTGGCCAGGCTGGTCTCAAACTCCTGACCTCAGACGATCCATCCACCTTGTCCTCCCAAAGAGCTGGGATTACAGGCATGAGCCACTGCACCCAGCCCACTTCATTCATTTTTTATGACTGAATACTATTCATTGTATGGATATACCACATTTTATTTGCTCATCAGCTAAAGGACATTTGGGTTGTTTCTGTCTTTTGGCTACTGTGAACAGTGCTACTTTTGTTCGAATCCTTATTTTCAATTCTTTTGGGTGGATACCTAGAAGTAAAATTCCTGGGTCTTCTGGTAATTTATGTTTAATTTTTTGAGGAACCACCAAACTATTTTCCATAGCAGCTGGCTGTCAACTTTTAAACATGTTCATGCCTCTCCAATAAAAAAATTAAAAACCTGAACCCATGCCCTCCTCCAGCTACTGATCTTTTTCTCATCTCCTTCTCAGGGCTGCTTCTTGGAAAACGTTAGCAGGCTCGTTCTTCTTTCCCCAGCCATTAAATGCAGGCACTCCTCCAGGTCCAGTCCCCTGCCTTTTTTCTTTTCTTTTCTCTATATTCTTTCCCCCGTTGATTCCGGCACTCCTCCAACTTGTTTTCCAAATTGCAACCATTATGACCTTTTCAAAATGTAAATCTGATCATACCACCCTTGTTTCAAACATGCAAAGGATTTCCATTGCTTTATAAGTAAGGGGATCTTTAACCTCCCTGAACCTGTCCAGTCTCGCCCACCTTCCTCTCTGGCCATCCCTCTCACCAGGTGCTCTGTCACTCTAGGAACCCTGTCACATGCCCCCCTGTCCACCATGTGCCTTTGTTCTCACCACTTTCTCCTCCTGAACTCTACCTTACTCTACCCCATGTCTTAATTTTTCATTTCTATGCTTCACATCTGTGTTTATTCAACACTTCTGTGAAGCAATCCTTGACCTCTACAGTTTGGTAAAATTCTACAAGTTCCTATAGCGCTATTACAAGCTGAATTGCATCCCTCCAAATTCATACACTGAGGTCCTAATCCTCAGTACCACAGAATGTGATTGTATTTGGAGACAGGACCTTTAAAGAGGTAAGTAAGGTTAAATGAGATCGTATGGGTGGGCTCTAATCCAATATGACTGGTGTCCTTAAAAGAATAGAAAATGAAGACACAGACAATGCACTGACTGAGAGGTGGTCTGTGAAGACACAGCGAGAAGGTGGCCATCTACAAGCCAAAGACAGAGGCCTCAGAAGAAACAAATCCTGCCAGCACCTTAATCTTGGAGTTCGACCTTCCAGAATTGTAAGAAAATAAAGTCCTGCTGTTTAATTTACCCAGTCTGCAGCACTTCGTTGTGGCAGCGCTAGATGACTACTACAATTAATTACTCTGTATCTGTCTCCCTCCAATTCACTTGCCAGAGAGTTCATTTTATCTTTTATTTGCTTTATTTTTAAAAAATTAATGCCCCTCTCTCTCTCTGTTTCTCTATCTTCCCCCCCGCCACCCCCCGACCCCCTGCACCTCTTGTATAAGTTCCATGAAGGCAAGGATTATTCCTCTTCTTATTCACCATTTTATTCCAGGTACACAATAGAGTGATTGGCATAAAGCAGGAATTCAATGTACAGGTATATTTCTTGGGAAAAAAATGGGTGAAGAAATGACTGAAAAAATAAATGAATACAGATTTATTTAATTGAACTAAATTTCTCTTTCATTTATTAAACTTTTATTTTAATTCAGTACCCCATGAAATACCAAGCCCTGTGGTGGATGGTCCTTGTCTTCAAAGAGTTCCCAATCAAGTTGAGAAGTCAAAGAGCAAACAAAAAAACTAAAGCAGAAAGGGCTAGTTCCCCAGGTAGTGACACATGCATACTTAATCTGGAGCCCAAATTCAGGAACAAACAACACTGAAGAGTCAGAGGTTTCATTTGAGCAGATGAGCCAGGGTCTAGGTCTTGAAAGAAGAGTGAGAAGAAAGAACCAAGAAGAGTAAAAGGAAATTCAGGCAGTAGGGAATGGAGAAGCAAAGCTTTGATGTTTGGAAACTAACAAGGAGTTTTTTAATCACTAGAATTGCACTTGTCATTAAATTCTGCAGATTATGATGTAAGAGTTCTTGAAGCTAAAGGGGGTTAAGCTCAAATGTAGTTAATGACAGAGTAAAATTAAATAGGTATCTTTACTACAGGACTTTTCTGAGCATTTAATATGCTAATGTGCATGTGAGTTTTCAAAAGAAGAATGAGATATTTCTTTAATGCCCTTTTTCTTTCCATAGTGTACCTTTATAAGACTACTGGTCTGTTTTATACTCTTCGGGAAACACGAGGTCAAAGCACAGTGTATTAGAAGGAGGGTGGTAAGAGATCATCCAGAAAAATAGGTTGCTATTTGATAATAGGTCCAAGAATCCATAAGAAATAGTCAGACCATGATAACATATCATTTAAATATTTTAAAGAAATATGATCCCACTAGACAGGAAGAACTGTTAATGGAATCTGTCAGTAAATATATTATTCGAATCATATCAGGCAGTGAAGCAACTTGGACAGGACACTGAAGATTTAAAGCACATTTCAGAATTAAGTAACCTGGTAACTTATATGGTTTGGCTGTGTCCACACCCAAATCTCATCTTGAACTTTAGTGCTCATAATCCCCATGTGTCATGGGAGGGACCCAATAGCCGGTAATTGAATCACGCGGACAGTTTCCTCATGCTGTTCTCATGATAGTGAGTGAGTTCTCACGAGATCTGATGCTATTATAAGGGGCTTTCCCCATTCATTCTGCACTTCTCCTTGCTGTCATCATCTGAAGAAGGAATTATTTGCTTCCCCTTCTGCCATGATTATAAGTTTCCCGAGGCCTCCCCAACCATGCTGAACTGTGAGTCAATTAAACCTCTTATCTTTATAAATTACCCAGTCTTGGGTATGTCTTTACAGCAGCATGAAAACGGACTAATACGGTACATTTAATTTGGGGTTTCTTTGTAGATTAGAGAGCCCATGTTAAAATGCGTGTAAATAGGATTCAGTGTGCCCCCTCAGTGTCAGGAGCAAGAGTCAAGTCAAACATTCAAGATCAAGCATTTAGTAGAAATTCCATATAAAATTTATCAACAGTATAAGTAATTAATATAGTTGATGTATAAGTAACATCAGTGTACTGAAATAGAAAAGGCACATTGCTTGGAATGATAGAACTATCCCCTTGGTAGATCGACCAGGCTCAGATTGGATTCGATTATATGTAACAAATAAACAGAAATAACCCTTTTTTTTTCTTGAAAGAAAACTCCAAATAGTTTAGAGATATCATAGAAGGTCTATGTTTATCAAGAACTCAAATTCCTTCTATTTTCTACTTCACCATCCAGGATTATGGCTTGGAGCCTCAAATCACTTTGTGATTCAAGATGGCAACTGGAAGAAAGAGGAGATAACAAAAAGGTAAGGGGAAAAAAAAAAAGCCTGATAACCAATAAGTCATTGCTCTTTAAACAGCTCTCCTAGAAATCACACACAACACTTCCACTTCACTGGCCAGATGTTGGTCTCATATGCACCCCAAAATGCAAAACAATTTGGGAAATGTAATTTATCTGGCCTACTGTTACTCTAAACAAAACCAAGATCTTGTTACTAAGAAAGAATAAGAGATTAGAAACTACATGGCAGCCAGCAGTCTCTGCTACAATGGATGTCATATAAACCTGGGGAATTTAGAAATAAATACATAGATAATAAAGTAAACTAAAACCACATTATTAACTTGGGAGTTATAAATAGGAGCATATGTATATATTTGGTATTTTAATATTTTTAATGCATAAGAGAATTTGGCATATTGGAGCATCAAATAAATTAGTTCTGCAATTCCCATTTAAATTATATAATTAGATAATTTGTCAAACTTTGCACTTTAATTTCAAAGACATAAGAGAATTTTCCTAAGTTTAGAAGTAGTATCAAGGCATTTAAAAAAAAAACAACTGTCATCATACTCGAAAATTTAATTTATTGTGTTTCTTAAAATTCACTTAAGTAATTAAAAGATTTTATTTGTTATTTAGTTTACGGTCTTAAAAAATCAAGTATTTTAAATTTAAAAATTCAGTTAGAAATATTTAAGCAATTTTAATTAATTAGGTTTTGAAGATCTGCTTGAAAGTGATTGCTGAGATATGCTTTTCTAAGTTGAATGTAAACGACAGAGGAAAAAATATATCTGTAATAAGTCAAATATTAATTTGAAAATCCAAAAGAATCACAAGTAGTCTTTTCTGCACATTAAGCCTGCCCTCAAAGACACCAGAAAAACATTATGTTGTTAAGCATGCATTTATGAAAGAGTGTTAAAATAATGAGTTCTAAGTATTTGGGGCTTTTTTTGTGTAAGTAAAGTGAGTTTATTGGAAGCTTTGGAGCAATAGAATGTCATTATCACATTTTTATCTCACAAGATAATTCTGATGGCAGTGAAATGCCCTTTCCCCACTTTTCTGCCAGGTGACACCCTACTCAATTCCTCAAGCACTAACTTCAACCACACCTCCTCCAAGAAATCCAAACCCACACGAAATCAATCCCAGGCAGAATTAAGAGCTTCTTCTCTGTACACTGTTGCACTTTAACACATCCTGTATAATGATCATTTCATTTCAACGAGGTCTTTTGGGTTCTGTCTCCCAGTAAGCCATGAAGCTAGACCATCATACTCATTTTTAGATTTTTTTGTTTGTGTTTAACATGGAACCATATTTCAAGTGGATGGAATCTAATTGAAATTCAAAGCCTAGGACTGTATTCTGAATTCAGTACAATTCCACTGAAGTGCAGATATCATATGACACCCTACCTAAGAAAGGGCAATCTCCTTTTTCCTCTTGAATTTTGATTGCAATTATAAGTAAATAGCAAGTCATAATTATTAATTCTTTTTATCCAAGATACATTTGGCACCACAGAAAAAGAACTGGCTCTTCTAGCATTTCCTATCAACAGGTTTTCAGCTGTGTACTCACTTGCAAATGATTACACATTCACAGGAAAGAAATGTATTTAGGTTGGAAAAAGTCCCAGAAGGCCCATAGGGTGGGCATTTGATTCCTTGATAAAAAGCCAAGCCCCACTGTCTGGAAAGGAGGAAATTAGAAAAGGGGGAAAGAACCATTTGCTTCAGGGCCTAAAATAACACCAATTGCAGCACGAACTATGAGAAGCAAGATAGCAGAATTAAACAGTAGAGAAAAATTGCCGCCTAAGACTTCTTCAGCTACAAAATAACTTAGAAAATAATTTCAAAATAATTTCCCAATACACAACAATATTTTCAGCAAGAATATATCGAAAGGCAATTTGGCAAGATGTTTTGGAGGACTTCAACACAAGAAAAGATGAATTTTTACATTAAGAAGAGATGAATAAATATTAATGTACCAACAAAAACTATTGATGTACCTTTCAATTCTAAAATTGTATTTCTGTATGTGAGTTATTTCCTTTTGTGCATGTGTATGTGTCTCTTCTCACCCGACCTCTCTCACTCTCTTAATTATACTGTAAAAATGAAGCCAGCAGGAACTGCTTCTTAACCGTTAATCATTATCCGCCCTGGCTGTTGTAATTTTTTTTTCTTTTCTTATGGAGAAATTTTTCTTTCCATTGCCTATACTTCTCTCCAGCACATTAATTATCTTTCCTGTGACAAGCCCCTAATCCATTTTTGTTCTGTGAAATCTGTAGCACTTAATGAAGATTATTCTCACTTTGTAAAGGCTTTAGAAGGGACTTTTCAGATCCTGTCTAAATGAGGGCCTCTTAAGTCATATGATGAGCTTAGATTGGAGCCCTGGTCTCTCAGATTTGATTAGCAGGTCCCGATGGCTTGCTACTACTTTGCTCAGCTCTGTGATTTTAGCAAGAAAAAAAGCAAAAATGAAAAACAAGAGTAGCTATCTGGATAATAGCAGGAACAAGTTGGAGAGGAGAACATTCACCTGCCATATGCACTATAACTGAATATAGTCATTAGCTACAGATGCCTGGTAATTTGAAATGGGGACCTTTATGCCTCTTATCTTGGGTAGTCTCAGACTTGAGACCAGTATGTGTAAATAAGAGCCTCTTCATCTTCCACTGGGGCTTAGAATTAGTAATTCTAGCTTGTGGTTCTCCCTTCCTGTATCTTCGTGACCTTTCTGCCTTTTAAACAATCAGCCCTTCATGATTATGCTTATTTTTAGGTCTGCTTTCACTATTCTCCCCCAGGAAGAGAAAAATATATAATGCATTAAATCCCAGTTCCAGGAAAACAGCATCCAGGTCTAAAAAGCAGATGTCATTGTGACTATCACTAACAGAACTTCAATGACATGCTTTCCATCTTCTCTCACATTTGAGGGGTATGCCATTACCAGCCTTATGCTGTTGGAAACGTACACACCTTACCAGATGTTAATTAGATTTGGGCTTCCAATATTCCAATATTCCCCAAAATTAGTGATAAACACACACTCAGGGATTTTAACTCAGAACTACACATCGGGCAACTTATGGACCACCTGTGGCTGAAATAGTGAAGTTAATGGCTGGGAAAAAGATGTCATGATTTTGAAATAAATCTAAAGAATAGAAAGTAAGAAATGATAGTTTTCTTCAGTAACTGTGATTAAACTCACTTCTGCTTCTTCAGATCAGATGAGAAAGAAATTATAACAACAAGAATAACAATAACAATACCTATTGAGAATGTACCAAGGGATTTCTTTAATTGTACCAAGGGATCTCTTTCATTAATTTGTTATAACAAATCTATAGGAAAAATTTTTTTTGTTAATGTTTCCATGTTACATTTATATAAATTTAGGAAATAGAAGAATTGAGACTCCAAGCCGAGATTTTGTTAAGTCAGAGCCTGCGCTCTTAATCACTAACTTTTTCACCGCAGGGCCACCAGACCCCAGGTAGAACTCTGCTCACATTCCTCCTTCCAAGCTACACCTAAGCCTAGGCCTAGGCCTCTGATGGAGTTTCACCAAGCAACGAGCATGGAAAGGAGTGCAACTAGTTTGCAAACCTTTATGATGTGGATGAGGCATGATTCGGACAACAAACACAGGAAGACAACCTCTCATGGGAAAGGCCATCCTTAGCCTGATGTCCAAGACAATAGAGATTCTGGAACATTGCCTGAAACTTTTATCTTCTGGCCTTCACACATGCGGTTCCTCTCCCTAGAATATTGTCTTTTTTCCCCCTTTCCTTGCCCCACCCAAACCCTGACTTCACTTGAAAACTCTTATTTTTCTTTCAGACTCAACTTGAAACTCACTTCCTCCATCAAGCCTTCCCCAATCCCCTAGACCAAGTGAGAGAAGCCCCCATTATGGGCCCCTGTGGCCCCCTATACTTAGCTTAGTATAACATATGTCATCATTTATCAAACTTTCTTGTTTTATTGCCCTTCTTCCTTACTGGATTATGAATTCCATGAAAGCTGAAAAATTATGTCTGCCTTATTGCCCAATTCATTTCCATTCCCTGTACAGGTAATTGCTGAATAATAGAGTAAGTGAATGAATGAAGAATCAACACATCTCCTACCAGTACAGAGTACTGAATTCTGAATTCCTTTTTCTGAAAATCCTAAAAAGCAGGGTCAATGGTTATATATCTAAGATGAACTAACTGTCTTTTCCAGGTCCCTTCTAGTCCCACAATTCCTTTATTTTTTAATCAAAACTGCCAACACAAGTTTTAAATTAATAATAGCATTGTCGTCATTATTTCACCACTTCAGTAGATGAGTGCCTGAGATGCAGGTGACTAGAAGGACTGGCCTCATCTAATCAAGCCCTGAACAGCACTTGTCTCGAGGTGTGAGGGCAACCATTCCACTCTCCACATTAATGCCATTAGGTAAAAGAGACAATAAGGAGATTTTTGTGTAGTAGAATTCTCTAGCATATACAGTTTTACCCTTGCCACCGATTAATTTACCAACCTCACAATCTTTACTCCAGGGTAAACAGATTTAAAACAAAAAAGTTGAAGTCTCATGGTAGCCAGGTGAATTTCTGTGCAAATATTTTACTATGTTCATCTGACAAAAATAATTCAGGACATGCCATTCTTAACAATCACCTCTGTCAATACTACTGATTAATCTGCAATTTCTTTCACAGTCGGAATAACGGCATTGATCAATTCAGTGGACACCTTTGAGCATAACATAAAGGATTTGATATACCCTTCAAGATGAACTAGGGGCCTTTGTCTTTGGCACTTTCTATTACTTTCCTGTATGGCCAAACTATGAGACTTGACAGCTTACTCTTGAGTTTGTAAACTGGAATATTCAACAAAAACTAAAATTGCAGAAAAGCGTCAGTCATTCATATAAAGTACTGCTTCTTAATTTCCATATTCCCTGAAGGAGCCACCTCTACCCATTTTAACCTATGTTAGATGAGAAAACTGAGGCACTGAGGAGTCAAAGTCATAATATATTTGAGTAATCTGACAATCATTTTCATTTTTCCTCTTGACTCTCTTGATGAAGTAATGTTCATTTGGAAGAGAAAATATGAAGGACCTAAGAAAATAAACTGAATTATTACAAATTTTAAATACTTAAATCCAAGAAAAGTCATTGGACTATAATCTTCATAGACAAACTATTGTCTTCTGTCTTGAATTTCTGGCCTAATGTCTGGAGTATAGCTAGTGCTTAATATAAAGCAAATAAGTGATATACCCATAACATTCTTAACCATTTTAGGAGGCCTCACAGGATCTGCCCTTTTATTACCTCTCTAGAGCCATCTCTCAATATTCCTCCCTTGCTGACTACCCCCAGAGATAATCAGGACTTCTTCCATTTTCTCAAACTTGTTTTGCATTCTTTTGCCTTGGAAATTTCAAGCATTTTGTTCCCTCTACCTGCAGCACTCCCCTCACTCTTCACCCACCCCCCTGGAGATGCTTCGGTCTTACCTCAAATGACACTTCCAGTGAGAAGTCTTCCCTCACATGGTCAGCTTCTCTTCCTATGCATTCCTACCACCTGCCTTTATCTGTCCCGGATCTTACCCCACCTCCTTGGCATTGCCTACCTAACTCTGGGACTTCCCAGTAGATTATCTGTCCCTTGAGGACAAAAATTGTGTCTGTTTAATATTAACAAGGTCTCCATTTGTTGCAAGTGACAGAAAGCCTACTGAAATTCACGTATGATAAAAAGTGGATATATTGCCTATATATTCAGGCATTCCAGATACTTATTTGAAATTGTCAGTCTTCTCTTTCTCTTTGTCCATCTCCATCTCTTACCTGCGCTTCTCTCTCTATGCTCCTTTTCTTCTATTTCTAGCTCCCTTCATCATCCATGGTCTCTATATCTCTATCTTCTCTTCATCTCTAGCTCACCAACTTTCACCTGTACTTCTCTTGATATGTTAGTGATCTTCTTTCTCACTATCGATAACTTCCTGCAAATGTTAGGAGAGAACCTAGGATGGGGGCTGGTTTGGCTATAAACAGCTTTAGATTACATCATCACAATTCAATAATCAAAACAAAAAAATCCTCTGTCTCCTAGCATCCAAGTACAAAATCTGAGCTGGGTTTAGACTAATGCTCTGAGATTGGTCCAGTGCTAGGACCAATAGCTATAGCCAGAGGTAGGAACCACTGTGGCTAATCAGTCATGTAGCATACTCCCAGCCATCTGGCCTGGACCAGTGGGGCCATGTGATAGGCAGCCCTACCAGAATTGGAATTGAGGAGGGAGGTTTTCCTCAAGTGAAAAGGGTACTGTCACTAGAAGAGAGGGGAAGTAATGCTGTGTGAACAAACAATAAAATCCACCCACACCAGATTAACATTTTATTCTCAGACCCTACCATTAAATCTGTCATGTGATTATTGGTCAATAAATGCTTAGTGAATGAATGAACTTAGGAAATGCATTTTGAGGCCAATATATTCCCTGTATTAATATTTGGGGTATTGGAACTCATGAGTGAGGATGAAAAGAAACATAGCTATTTCTTATAGCAAGTAAAAGAGAACAACGTGTTTTCATGGCCAAAAAGCTAATCCTATGCTTAATAAAGATTGCAAATGCAATATACTTAAAATTGTGTCACAGAATGTCCACTGAAAGATCAATATATTTGATTGAAGATTGTGTAATGATTAATTATATAATTGATGATTATATAATGTCCTGCCTGGCTCCCTATTCCTAGTCTCAAATAAGCCTGACTAACAGATATGCCTGTTCTGTCAAACTCTCATCTTAGAGCTTAGGTCTATCTTTTAACTGAGGCCAATCCATATTCTAAGCAGGGGCCACTTATACATTTCATTGTATGGGTCCCTGTATTAGTTCATTTTCACACTGCTGATAAAGACATACCCATGTCTGGGGAGAAAAAGAGGTTTAATTGGACTTACAGTTCCACATGGCTGGGGAGGACTCAGAATCACGGCAGGAGGCAAAAGGCACTTCTTACATGGTGTCAGCAAGAGAAAATGAGAAAGAAGCAAATGTGGAAACCCGTGATAAACCCATCAGATCTCGTGAGACTTATTCACTATCACAAGAATAAGATGGGAAACACTTGTCCCCATGATTCAATTACTTCCCCCTATGTCCCTCCCACAACATGTGGGAATGCTGGGAGCTACAATTCAAGTTGAGATTTGGGTGGGGGCACAGCTAAACTGTATCATTCTGCCCCTGACCTCTCCAAATCTCATGTCCTTACATTTCAAAACCAATCGTGCCTTCCCAACAGTCCCCCAAAGTCTTAACTCATTTCAGCATTAAGCCAAAAGTCCACAGTCCAAAGTCTCATCTGAGACAAGGCAAGTGCCTTCTGACCATGAGCCTGTAAAATCAAAAGCAAGCTAGTTACTCCCGAGTTACAATGTGGTTATAAGCATTGGGTAAATACAGCCATTCCAAATGGGAGAAACTGGCCAAGGGAATACAGGGCCAATGGAAGTCCAGAATCCAGCTGGACAGTCAAATTTTAAAGCTCCAAAATGATCTCCTTTGACTCCAGGTCTCATATCCAGGTCACACTAATACAAGAGGTGGGTACCTATGGTCTTGGGTAGCTCCACCCCTGAGACTTTGCAAGGTACAGCCTCCCTCCTGGCTGCTTTTACAGGCTGGCACTGAGTGTCTGCAGCTTTTCCAGGCACAGAGTGTAAGCTGTCAGTAAGCATCTACTATTCCAGGGTCTGGAGGACAGTGGCCCTCTTCTCAAAGCTTCACTAGGCAGTGCCCCAGTAGGAGCTCTGTGTGGGGGCTCTGACCCCATATTTCCCTTCTGCACTGCCCTAGCAGAGATTCTCCATGAGGGCCCCAACCCTGCAGCAAACTTTTGCCTGGGCATCCAGGTGTTTCCATACATCTTCTGAAATCTAGGTGGAGGTTCCCAAACCTTAATTCTTGACTTCTGCGCATTCAAAGGCTCAACACTACATGGAAGCTGCCAGGGCTTGGAGCTTCCACCCTCTGAAGCCACAGCCCAAGCTCTATGTTGGCCCCTTTCAGCCATGGCTGCAGCAGCTGAGACACAGGGCACCAAGTCCTGGGCTGCACACAGCATGGGGACCCTGGACCTGGCCCATGAAACCACTTTTTGCCCCTGGGAACCCAGGCCTATGATGGGAGGTGCTGCCTTGAAGGTCTCTTACATGGCCTGGAGACATTTTCCCCATGGTCTTGGGGGTTAACATTAGGCTCCTTGCTACTTATGCAATCTTCTGCAGCTGGCTTGAATTTCTCCTCAAAAAACAGGATTTTCTTTTCTACTGCATCGTCAGGGTGCAAATTTTCTGAACTTTTATGCTTTGTTTCCCTTTTAAAATGGAATGCTTTTAACAGCACCCAAGTCACCTTTTGAATGCTTTGCTGCTTAGAAATTTCTTCTGCCAGATACCCTAAATCATCTCTCTCAAGTTCAAAGTTCCACAAATCCCCAGGGGAGGGGCAAAATGCTGCCAGTCTCTGTGCTAAAACATAGCAAGAGTCACCTTTGCTCCAGTTCCCAACAAGTTCCTTATGTCTATCTGAGACCACCTCAGCCTGGATTTTATTGTCCATATTGCTAGCAGTATTTTGGGCAAAGCCACTCAAAAAATTTTTAGGAATTTTCAAAATTTCCCACATTTTCCTGTCTTCTTCTGATCCCTTCAAACTGTTCCAATCTCTACCTGTTACCTACTTCCAAAGTTGCTTCCACATTTTCAGGTATCTTTTCAGCAACACCCCACTCCTGGTACCAATTTAATGTATTAGTTCATTTTTATGCTGCTGATAAAGACATACCTAAGACTGGGAAGAAAAAGAGATTTAATTGGACTTACAGTTCCACATGGCTTGGGAGGCCTCAGAATCGTGGTGGGAGGTGAAAGGCACTTCTTTTTTTTCTTTTTTCTTTTTTTTTTTTTTTTTTTGAGATGGAGTGTTGCTCTTGTTGCCCAGGCTGGAGTGCAATGGCACAATCTCGGCTCACCACAACCTCCACCTCCCAGGTTCAAGTGATTCTCCTGCCACAGCCTCCCGCATAGCTGGGATTACAGGCAAGCACCACCACACCCGGCTAATTTTATATTTTTAGTAGGGATGGGGTTTCTCCATGTTGGTCAGGCTGGTCTCGAACCCCTGACCTCAGGTGATCCTCCTGCCTTGGCTTCCCAAAGTGCTGGGATTACAGGTGTAAACCACCGCACTGGCCTGAAATGCACTTCTTACATGGCAGCAGCAAGCAAAAATGAGAAAGAAGCCAAAGTGGAAACCCCTGATAAACCCATCAGATCTGGTGAGACTTATTCACAATCAAGAGAATAACACAGAAAAGACCATCCCCCATGATTCAATTACCTCCCCCTGGGTCCCTCCCACAACATGTGGGAATTCTGGGAGCTACAATTCAAGTTGAGATTTGGGTGGGGGCACAGCCAAACCATACCATTCCCTATCTCAGAATTGAGGTATTGAGGTATTCTTGTGACCTGTCTTTTGTCTCATCTGAGCCCCTGTACACCTGCACTCTGACCCCAGTTGCTCTAGCTCTGGCTATGTTTTCTTTCATATTTGGATCTAAGTGGTAGCATCACTTTTTAGCTTCCTACAAATTCCTTTGATCATTGGACTTTAGATAGGTTCATGTTTGTTGGACTTCCCTTCATTGTCTGTTCCATTCCTAGCTGGATCAAAATGGAAGATTCAGAAACCTGGACCAACTCACTTCACTGTACCCAGTTCAGTTGGATCCTTTCCCCTGAAGTGATTTTTTTTCAATGTTCACTGCTCACAGCTGAGTAACTCCTGGACACAAACCTTGTTTCAACGGATAGGTCTGTCTGGTCCTTTCCATCGTGGTCTATTTTTCTGTGTACTCACTCCAATTAGGATAAATGATAATTTTCCAGAAAATTTGTCAGGTACATTAATGCCTTCCGTTATGTAATCTAGCACTAGAAATTCACCACATAGAAAGAATAAAATATTCAGCGCCATTTCATCATGCCTATTGGTTTCCCCATAGTGCCATTTTATCCTAAAGCACCCTTATAAAAACTTATGGTCATGTGAAACACTTCCTTGTCCCAGCAAAGAAAAAGCCTAAATGACTTACTGTATAGTGTTTTATCAAGCTAATTTCTTTAGTCTCCTGAAGATACAGCACTAGCTTTAAATTATAGCCTTAATATAATTCCCACAATATGCTCATTAAATGTCTGGCTTATTGTTTGTGGTTATACCATTAAACATAGCATCCCTAGTTGTATCTTCCTAAAATCAAAGAAGCTAAATAGTTCCAAAACGTGAATGTTGACCAAGTCCTCTATTCTCTGGGCATACACATGTGTCAGAGAAAGCAAAAAGTAGCCACTAAACTAATCACTGGGCATAGAAGACTGCTTATCCCTTATGTGTTAAAATAACAATCATTTCAGTTACATATCAATTTGAATTTCCAAGACAAGTAATAAGACACCTCACTTTTCTTATTGTTTTCCAAGACAAACATCTGAGAACTAGCAGGAAAACTGTGTCTCATACATTCATTTGATTTTATATTTTCTATCATGCCAATCGGCATTCATCCATGAAGCAAACACCAGATGCCTAATACATATAAGGACAATGCTAAACACCAGTTTTCATATTCAAATAGCAGATCTTGAACCCTAAAACCCAATATTCTATTTCACCAGTAAAAAAGAAATGCCAAGAGAAATTTTCTTACCTCAGAGTTTGGTGATAGAGCTACGCTTACCTTTCCTATAGCTATTCTGAGGAACGTAACACACATCAGTGTCATCGTGACTCAGATTCACACAGTAAATCTCACACATGAAAATTCTAAGACATACAAATTCAAATAATCCATCAAAAATTAAGCACGAGGGAGCCAAATAAAGGTTCAGATCAATTTGTCTGCATTCTCATTTGTTATTCCTAATTCCTTAATAAGGCATTTTTTATTTGATTATGGAAACCTTAATTAATTGTATAGAAAATGCTCAGAGATGATTGAGGAATAAATATAATAGAGGAATAAACTTCATTTTGCCTCCTTGGAACTATTAAAATAAAAAGCAGCCATTTAGGATATTATCCTCTGATACAGCCAAGAAGAGGTCCCCAAGAGGTAGGTTTAGGGCATTCTCAGGGATTTCTTTCTGTGATTTACTGGGCGGGGGTGGGTATCACACAGGACCTGACTTCTTTGGTTTTCTCTCTTTGGTCTAATTGCTATACATCTGTTAAATTTGGGGTTTTGTTCAGGCAAAAGTTTTAGCAGGGAAAGGCTGAAGGAAAGGACTAAAATAAGGATTGAGATGACGAATGTAAGTTTTTCTTTTGCAATGACCACAAATAATAAAGAGGATATTTTAAAGGTTAATAATTAAAGGCAACTCCACCCCCTTCCCCTTTGGCAGATGAGGAAAATAGGCAGTGAGATGGTGTAGCCTGCAATACTGTGGTTCTGAAGGAATGAGTGCTAACGTGGCCTCCTCCCTCTTGGAACCAAACCTATATCATTTGGAAAACCTTTATTCATTATGCAGAAGCTAAGAGACACACAATATTCCAGCTGGTTTCAGAAACTAATGTTAACAGCCACGTCACCTTTTCTCGCTCCCTTCCTCTTTCTCTTTTTCTCTTTATTTTTCTCTTTCTTCTCTTGCTTATTCCTTTCTTTCCCCTTCCTTCCTTCCAAGTAAGTGAATTTCCAGTTTCCTCTGTTATTCTTAGTTCCCATAGCTTGTTCTTGGAGATATCTTTTTTTTTTTTTTTTTTTTTTTTTTAATGAGAGCAACCAAACCTTATTGAAGACATTCAAGAATTGGGCTTTTTCCTCCCAATCAACTTGCTTTGGTGCAGTTAAGATGAAAGTAAATAAATCCTCTTAGTTGGGCTGTTGCTACTATTCTAGAAAGTCTGCCCTTTGCAGTAATAACCAGGAGACATGGGGTGGAGAGGCAGCATCCAGCTCCTGGGAAACATGAACTGCCAAGAACAAGACAGCTTTCTATAGCCAACTGAGATCAAATTCCTCAAGCTTCTGGATGGAACCCCATCCTGGATTGGAGGAAGAGGTCAAGAATATGGCCTGGAATGATTGGCCAGAAATAAGAAGGAACTCTATCATTTCAAGATTATGTGTTTGTGTGTATTGAAGAGAAATAACTTTTATAAGGGTAAAGAAATTTAAAGAGAAATAAAGTTAAATTCTAGCTAAAGGAAAAAGCATACAAAATCCCAGGATTTATAACTGAAAGTGTTTATCAGACTCTACAACTACTCATGAGCTTTTAGTCTTCTTAAAAACCTCCCTAGTAATAAAGAGAAAAACATTTATGAGTGTCGAGTTTCTCTAGCACAGCTGATG